>NC_000001.11:58493228-58644744 GCF_000001405.40 Homo sapiens
AAAACTCTCAATAAATTAGGTATTGATGGGACGTATCTCAAAATAGTAAGAGCTATTTATGACAAACTCACAGCCAATATCATACTGAATGGGCAAAAATTGGAAGCATTCCCTTTGAAAACTGGCACAAGACAGGGATGCCCTCTCTCACCACTCCTATTCAACATAGTGTTGGAAGTTCTGGCCAGGGCAATCAGGCAAGAGAAAGAAATAAAGGGTATTCAATTAGGAAAAGAGCAAGTCAAATTGTCCCTGTTTGCAGATGACATGATTGTATATCTAGAAAACCCCATCGTCTCAGCCCAAAATCTCCTTAAGCTGATAAGCAACTTCAGCAAAGTCTCAGGATACAAAATCAATGTGCAAAAATCACAAGCATTCTTATACACCAATAACAGACAAACAGAGAGCCAAATCATGAGTGAACTCCCATTCACAATTGCTTCAAAGAGAATAAAATAGCTAGGAATCCAACTTACAAGGGATGTGAAGGACCTCTTCAAGGAGAACTACAAACCACTGCTCAAGGAAATAAAAGAGGATACAAACAAATGGAAGAACATTCCATGCTCATGGGTAGGAAGAATCAATATGGTGAAAATGGCCATACTGCCCAAGGTAATTTATAGATTCAATGCCATCCCCATCAAGCTACCAATGACTTTCTTCACAGAATTGGAAAAAACTACTTTAAAGTTCATATGGTACCAAAAAAGAGCCCTCATTGCCAAGTCAATCCTAAGCAAAAAGAACAAAGCTGGAGGCATCATGCTACCTGACTTCAAACTATACTACAAGGCTACAGTAACCAAAACAGCATGGTACTGGTACCAAAACAGAGATATAGACCATTGGAACAGAACAGAGCCCTCAGAAATAATGCCACATGTCTACAACTATCTGATCTTTGACAAACCTGACAAAAATAAGAAATGGGGAAAGGATTCCCTCTTTAATAAATGGTGCTGGGAAAACTGGCTAGCCATATGGAGAAAGCTGAAACTGGATCCCTTCCTTACACCTTATACTAAAATTAATTCAAGATGGATTAAAGACTTAAATGTTAGACCTAAAACCATAAAAACCCTAGAAGAAAACCTAGGCAATACCATTCAGGACATAGGCATGGGCAAGGACTTCATGTCTAAAACACCAAAAGCAATGGCAACAAAAGCCAAAATTGATAAATGGGATCTAATTAAACTAAAGAGCTTCTGCACAGCAAAAGAAACTACCATCAGAGTGAACAGGCAACCTACAGAATGGGAGAAAATTTTTGCAATCTACTCAACTGACAAAGGGCTAATATCCAGAATCTACAATGAACTCAAACAAATTTACAAGAAAAAAACAAACAACCCCATCAAAAAGTGGGTGAAGGATATGAACAGACACTTCTCAAAAGAAGACATTTATGCAGCCAAAAGACACATGAAAAAATGCTCATCATCACTGGCCATCAGAGAAATGCAAATCAAAACCACAATGAGATACCATCTCACACCAGTTAGAATGGCGATCATTAAAAAGTCAGGAAACTACAGGTGCTGGAGAGGATGTGGAGAAATAGGAACACCTTTACACTGTTGGTGGGACTGTAAACTAGTTCAAACATTGTGGAAGTCAGTGTGGCGATTCCTCAGGGATCTAGAACTAGAAATACCATTTGACCCAGCCATCGCATTACTGGGTATATACCTAAAGGATTATAAATCATGCTGCTATAAAGACACATGCACACGTATGTTTATTGCAGCACTATTCACAATAGCAAAGACTTGGAACCAACCCAAACGTCCAACAATGATAGACTGGATTAAGAAAATGTGGCACATATACAGCATGGAATACTATGCAGCCATAAAAAAGGATGAGTTCATGTCCTTTGTAGGGACATGGATAAAGCTGGAAACCATCATTCTCAGCAAACTATTGCAAGGACAAAAAACTAAACACTGCAGGTTCTCACTCATAGGTGGGAACAGAACAATGAGAACACATGGACACAGGAAGGGGAACATCACACACAGGGGTCTGTTGTGGGGTGGGAGGAGGAGGGAGGGATAGCATTAGGAGATATACCTAATGTTAAATGACGAGTTAATGGGTGCAGCACACCAACATGGCACATGTATATATATGTAACACACCTGCATGTTGTGCACATGTACCCTAAAACTTAAAGTATAATAATAATAATAATACATTCCTTTTTTTAGGATTTAGTTTCTCATGCCACTTAAATTTTATTTTTCATATTATTCAGCTGAATTTTTTGGTAGTTCCTTACTTGATCTGTGGTTTTCTAACAATGGCAGGGTGCAAGCTAGTTACAATTATATTTAAACAAACAAAACTGTATATTTTATCTAATTCCTGATTGTCAGTAGATTCTGGAAAGAGCACTGTTGCAACCAAGAACTTCACTGACATATTGTCCTATGTGTTTCATTTGCTAAGGATCTTCCACCATAAAAAAAAAAAAAGTTAGTTTTTGTAGATATCATACCAAAGTGTATTAGTTCCACTGTTTTTTGTTTTGTTTCTTTCCTCCAAAACTCTTACACTTCCTCCAACAGCAAGAAGTATAAGAACTTAGGAGGAAAGAAATATCTTCCTTATGCTTATGAAAAGAAAGGTCCAGAGTCATTCTTACTCTTGTATGCCTTTTTACCTAGGTAGCTTGTAAAAGCCTGTCTTTGCAATGAAGATTAAACACTTCATAAGTTTAAATATCTAAGCTTGTCATTTCAGGGCTTCCCATGGATGATACTCTGGGAATCTCCTAAAAACCCATCTTGAGAAATGTTAACTAAATAAAAAAATATGATATAGAAACCACAATCAAAGAAATGAAGACATGTACAAATGTATCTTTCCCATTGTTATATGCAGCTTGGATTTCCTGGTGCCTTTTCAATATTCTTTCATTTTTTTAGACTTTTTTTTTTTGGCTTTGGGCATTTTAATTTGGTTGTGCTATGTTCCTCTATCTTCCGCATCAATGAGTCTTTGCTCTGAGGTATCAATTCTGCTCTTTACAGCCTCCACCGAAAGTTTTACAGCTTCTCTGTTGAATTCACAAGTTTAACAATTTTCTGAAATGGATTTATCTTACATTTGTAAAGTCGTTCTTTCAGATTCTGTCACTTTCAGTGCAGTTAAATCAACCTTATCATGCCAGCTTCAGGTGGCACTGCTTCTATGTTCTTGCCGCCTTGCCTGTCCTCTCCCATAAAGTAACATTTTTAAGTTTGACTTGAGATTTGGTTTTGTTTTTCGTATTTCTGCTCTTTAAAGCTTATCTCACTGGGGAACAATGAGCATTTCAGAGGCTTTGTTTTGTTGCTATTGCTGAATTTTGTTTACATGAGGGTCCTTGTGGAGTTATTAAAGGCACTTAGACATTCAATAATCTTTTAAATAAGATTATCCTCATTTTTCCTTTCAACTCTGTTTTTCCAACTCTTGTACACTTACCGTTCTGATTTTTTAAAAGTCTCTCTTACCTACCTCTTAAGTCTATTCCTGAATAAGATAAAAGTGTCTGCAACATCTTTTATTCCATTAGGGTTAATTTGGCTGGTCTGAGTTCTAAATAGATTCTACATAGATTTCTCGTGAAGACACATTTCTCAGGTTGTTTGAAAACTGATTATTTGCAGGGTGGTGCTAAATTATCACCCCACAATCACTTGCTGGCCACAAGGAAGAAAACCACCTTTGCAAACAAAGAACCAGGCCATCACCATCCAACCCACTGATGGCCTTCAGCATCACCAGATGTGGGGCAGCCAGGTATTAAGAGACTTCCAATGCAAAGCACTATGAAGCTTAGTTGCATCACCTATAAAATATCCTTCCCAAAATTTAATCTCTATTTACAGGTATATATAGAAACAAGTTAGAAATACCACGAAGAAGCAATCAAGTTAATCCAGAATCTACAATGTGGGATTATATGTACTCACCAATTCAATGACAAGTTTTAAAACAAACAAAACAAAAGGGAGGGGGGTACTGTCCTAAAGTCAAAAGGACTTTAGGGACGTAAGGACCAAATGCAATGTGTGGATCATGAAGTATCCTAATTTAAACAGGCCAACTGTAACACTGCTGAGATACAGAAATCTGATGTAGACAGAATATTTAATTTTAAGGAATTACTATGAGTTTCCTTAGGCATGATAATGTTATGATTATGGAAGAAAATGATACTACTTTCTGAAATGCATACTAAAGTTGATGGAGTTCAGGACATATCATTCCAAAATAAGACTCCAGGAGACCAGACTATGCCACCCCAAATATGCCTCTTTAGCATAAGAGTTATTTTCTACTAATTATTTTGGGCAATAGCAGACATAGGGGAAGTTCTGAAAACAGGAAGAAGAAGTTACCGTTTTCTCAGAGAAATATGTATCTACGAAGGAAATCTCTAATTTGCAAGTATGTCTCCCTCTCTGTACCAGAAAGAGAAGGATGACTCTAAATCACTGGAAACTCTTATCAACAAAGAAGGTACAATCTACATAACAAACCTTACCCTTGCTCACTGCTTTTCCTGACCACCTCTCTACAACGTGGCGGCTTTCCCTGCACCTTTCTGTCTTAGTTTCAGTTGAAGATGGTATTTACACCTGAACTCAAAGCCACCTCTTGGAGAATTATTCATTCCATGGGTATCTCCCAGGTATACAGGAAGTATACATGTTAAAAAGCTTCCATTTCCCTCTTGTTAATCTGTCTTTTAATACAGGGGTTCATCTCAACTAAGAACTATGAAGCATAGAGAGAAAATTATTTTCTCCTCCCCTATAAGGCCCTGATATCTGGGCTTTATATCAAAATACTTCTGAGAAAAACAGAGATGGGACAGATGAAGCAAGTGTATAAAAGGATTATACTGTTCAATATCAGTGGGTGAAAAATAGGGGCTCATTAAGCTATTCAAATTATTCTCTATCTTGACATGTATTTTAAACATTTATAATAATGGTAAAACTAAAAGTTAAAAAAAAAAAACAACTTTTTCCATTGTCTTCCATTCTCCTCTACCATTTTTGCATTCCTATAACTTCACCCTTGATTTTACAACTGTTTTTAGTTCTAAATGGCTCATGAGAGGTTTAAATTTTAAATATTTCTCCTGGAAAATGAAACTAGTCCCTTTACTACCACCTCTATTTCCAACTCTCTCCCTTAATTTCTAAAAGCAAGCATATACTTTTAAGAAGGCCTAAGGAGTTAGGTGTCAATGGCCCTAATCCAAAGACTCACTATGCAATAGATTTAACAGAAATTAGAGAGAATAGTGGGTAACTACTTTAAAAGACAGAAAAGAAATACAACAAGGATAATGCCTATATGGCTACTTATTAACAGAACAAAAACTCTATAAAGGAAATCTCTAAGACATTTCAGCATTCCTTCTTGCCTATATAACTATGTTTCTTGAATTCTCTTTTGAACTAGTTGTAACATATTACAGTTTCCCTCATTAATGAGTTAAATAAAATCTCAGAGATGTGTTCATTTTATATTTGAATGATTCATGATTTCATCTTTTAAAAAAATTATTCTTTAATTCATTTCATTTCCTTTCACAAACACTGCAATGGAAATTGGATTCTGACTAGTTTTTGAAGTGTTCTAAAGTAAATAAGTATAAATAACTGACGTAAATAATTTAAAGTAAATACAAAAAATTAAAAATTAAGGCCACCTTGACATAGGACAATTATCCTCTGGAATGATAAAATAATTAGAAAAGGTTTTCAAACAAACCTATAAAAACATTTTATAATCAACCATTCCTAAAATATGAACATGATAAAATCCTACCATTTGTAACAGTATGGATAAATCTGGAGGACATTATGCTAAGTGAAATAAGCCAGGTACAGAAAGAAAAATACTATACAGTCTCACTTATATATGGAATCTAAAAAAGTCCAACTCAGAGAAATTGTGAGTAGAATAATGATTACCACAGGCTGGGGATCGGGGAGTAGGAATCAGGAGGTGTTGGTCAAAAAGTATGAAGTTTTGCCAGCCAGGGCAACACAGCAAGACCACATCTCTACAAAAAAAAAAAAAAAAAAAAAAAGGCCAGGCATTGTGGTACATTCCTATAGTCCTAGCTACTCTGGAGGCTGAAGTGGGAAAATTGCTTTAGCCCAGGACTTCAAAGCTGCAGTGAACTATGATTCCACCACTGCACTCCAGCCTAGGGAACAAAGCCAGACTATAGATAGATAGATAGATAGATAGATAGATAAATAGATAGATAGATAGATATTAAAAAGTATAAACTTTCAGTCAGGAAAAGTAGCTTCTGGAGATCTACTACACAGCATTGTTACTACAGTTAATAAAAATGTACTGTATATTTGAAAATTGCTAAGAGAATAGATTTTAAACATTCTTGCCACAAAAAGTAAGTATGTGAGGTGATTAATATCTTAGTTGGTTTGATTTAACCATTACACAATGTATACAGATATTGAAACATCATGCTGGACTCCATAAATATATAAAAAATTTTAAAAATTAGTTAAAGTAAATAAAAAATAAACACTTGTATTGAAAAAAAAACTGGCTATATTTATTCCCAGTAACAACTAAAGTATTTATGAAACAACTGCTAATACACATCAGTATTCTGACAGGTATTACATATCAAGTAAAACATCAACTACTTATTCACAAAAAGTAAAAGTAAGTTTAAAAAAAGAAGAAAAAAATGGACAAAAATTAATGCCAGAGAGTCTTCACGACTGGATTAAAAGCTTCCTTTGAAAACAGAAAGCAAGACATTTCAAGAGGGAAAAAAATCACCTCTATTTTTAGCATGTTTTTCTAAAATATCATTACTTTCCCCTTTCCCCTCAAAAGCAATTTTTTCTAATAGCCCATTCATTTCAGCCTCAAGTAGATACACATCACATGCACCATAATATTTTTTTTAAGGGTTTAGACAATGTTACTGTCAGGCTTCCTGGCTTTATATGATTCAGAAGCCAATTCAATTACAGCAGCTGCTATGATATTTGCCTTTTCCTCAACACTCTCTATGTCAGACAAAATGAAATTCTGTAAGGTGAACAGTGTATGTTTGTGTACACTGGCCAACAACGACATTTCACTTCAATGTTAAACACTCATGTTTTCTGCTCATGAGATGTATAATATTAATGATTTATTCATTTACTTTGTCCAATTATAAACGTGTAAGAATGATTTACACGAGTTCAAACCCCTAGCTTCCTGAAAGTATAAAGGATTCAAAATAAAATGAGATTAATATGAATGCAGCCACCAAGTGATTCTGATATCTAAAAATTGAATGAAGTGAATTTGATAAAGATTTTTTTAAGTTTCTGAATAAAGCCAGTATTGAAAGCTCTAAAAACATTTAAAAATATATCCTATTCAAATTATGACTATAAACATAACCATAAACAATGAGTAAGTTCAAATTAAATATTTTTCCTATACATTCTATCATTCTCCATACCCTTCACCCAACAAAGAGGGGATGGTGGAGAGAAACAGGGTTGGTAAGTGAAGTGGAGAATAAGAAATTCAGTCTAAATGTTTTCAGTTTTAAAATAAATCTTTGAAGCAGATTTCTCTTATTCACATCTATTCATATTTTATAACAATCTTCATAGAAAAAAGTTAAATAAGGTGTCTCTTTCAACGACAAATTATAATATACATAAAGTCTGAACAGTGTAACTATAATTTTAAAACTGTCATACTATTAAACATCAACAAATTGATACAACATCTGCTCTTCATTTTTTCACCCAAGTTGTTATGATAACCAAAATATGTGGAATATGTGTTTAACTGATTATTTCAAGTAAATAGAATTATAACATATCAGCTTATTAACTACAAGTAATATTGCTACAAACCTGTATTTATCCTTTTTAAATGCTAATGGATCACAAGATTATATTTAGGCAATTTATACATGTTTTATCTTGAAATTCACATTTAAAAAAGCAAAGGTTTGCTTTTTTTTCTAATGTGATGGGTTATCTTGACTTAAAGCAAGAAAGGAACTCATCTATTTTCTGAACAATATATTATGCTAAAATGATCCAAAATTATATTATGGTACTGTTTTGCAGGAGCTGTAGATCACATCATTTTC
This sequence comes from Homo sapiens, assembly GCF_000001405.40. Lineage (NCBI taxonomy): Eukaryota > Metazoa > Chordata > Mammalia > Primates > Hominidae > Homo > Homo sapiens. The sequence continues at coordinate 58,501,396 of NC_000001.11, forward strand.
AAACATAAGTGACCTTGTCACTCCTCCAGTCCTCTGCTCAAATCCCTCCACTATTGTCCCATCTCTGTGAACAAAAGCCAAAGTCCTTACAGGGGCGATAAGGCCCACGCCCTCCCCCTTCCCTTGCTCACCCCATTCCACCCACACTGGTTTTCTTCTTGTTGCTCCTGCCCCACAGCCTTGTACTCTTCCCCAAGACAGCCACAAGCCTGGTTCCTTCACTTATTTCAAATCTGTGTTCAAGTGTCAGCTTCTCAATGAAACCTTCTTTGACTGCTGAAGGACCCCATTTTACACTGCTATTCCTGCACCCCTCCCATCTCTGCTCACACATAACTGTGTGCTAAGGACTCATGTGTTCCTCTAAAATTCATATTTTGAAGTCCCAACCTCCAGTGTAACTGTATTTGGAAATAAGGCCTAAAAGGAGGTAACTAAGGTTTAATGAGGTCTGAAGGGTGGGGCCCTGATCGAATAGGATTAGTAGCTTTATAAAAAGAGACATAAGAGAGCTGCCTCTCCCTCCTCACTGCCCCCCACTCCCGCCCCCAGCACCAAATTTATTATCTGTCTCCCTTTACTGCAGAATAAGCTTCATGAGGACAGGGATTTTTGTCTATTTATTTCACATCACCTACAACCTGGCATATAACAGATGACTGATAAATACTTGTTGAATGCATAAAGTGTAAATTTAAAACATTTTAAAAGTTGATAAGCTACAGTAAGAAACAATACATTTTTGTGATGATATGCAAGGGATCCAATAAGAAATAAAAATATACAATCTTCAATAAGCTAAAGTTTAAAAATCAAAATGATCAAAATTTGTGTTCTAATCACAGACCCACAGAATCCTGCTTTCTTGGTTTCCTATTTGCTTTCTTGATTTCCTATGAATCTGATCCAACACAGGCTCTGTCTTCCTCCCACCCATTAAATGTGGAAAATATGCAATACTGTTACTTTGATCTTTTTCTCTAATCACTTCCTACGTGAACTCATCCATTCTCATTGCTTCAACTATCACTTCTTTTTAGATGACTCTGAAACTCTGAAATCTTCATCTCTGGCCTGGATTTGTCTGTGCTCTCTAGTGCTGTATTCTCAACTGCCTTTGAGGGGAACATAACTTCACCATACTGCTAGAGATGTCAAAGGACAGGAACCTTAGGTAGAACATAACATACTCACTAGAGCATGCTACATAAAATATAATTTCAAAATGTAGTAGTAGTATACAGACTCACATAATTCTATATACTGCCTGAGAAACTGCCTTCTTTCATTATATGTCAGAAATTAGACTACAATAATAGGGAATTCCAATCTTTGAGTTATGACTGTATATTCTAATTAACAATATACCCTTGTACTATCAGTTTCACTTCAACCACTGAGTTATTCCCAATATTGCAATAGAGTTTTATTACTTTCAAATTGAATTTAATCACTTGGGGTGGGGAATATAAGAAATTATATGAGGTTTTCAAATTAAGTTTCTGAACTAGGATAGTTTATTTTTAGAAGAAAAATGTCTCACGTCTTTGTCTTCATCATTTGCTCCCAAATAAAATTTGTTTCTCTAGCCATTTTTCTTCCTACTCACTAATCAATTCATTATTATTTTAAAGACATCTCTAAAGCACAGTTTTTACCTCTCCGAAGATGCTCAGTAATTTGATGATGAAATGACAACTCAGAATTTAGGAGTCTTCACATGAAAAGTTGGCTAACAGAATTTATTATCCAATTAAACAAACCACATATTTTTAGAATTTCATTGAGCGAAAATAAAAAGAAAAAAAATTCAAGAGAAAATCATATTGTTATCATTGCTTTAGAGACAGGCCCAGGCCTCCCAGGGTGCGATAAAGTCCCAGGGGCCTTGGATAGCACAAAGGACCCTCTTATAGTCAGTGATCCTCAGTACAAGTCAGTTACTGAAGAAATACATAATGTCCCATGCCTATACTACCCTTTTAAGAGGAATAATTACTACATATTATATCAGGTAAATTTCACTGCTATTTCTTTCTCAAATTTTTTTTTCAAATTAAGAATACAAATGAAATCTAGTTAAGATAGCTGCTGATATAGAGTGAATGTCTGTGTCCTGTCAAAATTTATATGTTGAAATTCCAACTCCCAATGTGATGGTATCAGGAGGTAAGCGCCTTTGGGAGGCGATTGTCATAAGGGTGGAGCCCTCATGAATGGGTTAGCACCCTTTTATAAAAGAGGCTTTTGAGAGCTCCCTTGCCCCTTCTACCATGTGAGGTTACAAGGAGAAGATGGCTGTTTATGAGCTGGGAAGTGGGCCCTCACCAGACACCAAATCTGTTGGAAATTGGATCTAAGATTTCACAGCCTTCCAAACTGTGAGAAGTAAGTTTCTGTTGTTTATAAGCCACCCAGTCTATGGTATTTTTATTATTGCAACCTGAACAAACTAAAATAGGTGTTAAGAAGCCATGCTTGGCTGTCCTCAATGCTCACAAAAGGCACGAAGTATGCCTAAATTACCAACAAATCCTGTCATCACTCCTTTCAAAATATATCCAGAATCTGACTGATTCTTTCCCCATTTTCTGCTACCAGATATCTTGGTCCAAGCCACCATCATCTCCTACCAGGATTATGAGAGTCTCCTAAAAAGTCTCCCTGACTCCACCGTTGCCCCACTAGTCTACTCCACACAATAATGCCAGTGATCACAATAAAACATGAGTCAAATCAAGTCACTCCTCTGCTCAATATCCTCAACTAGCTTCTCCTATCACTTGAAGTGAAAGTCAAGTCCTTACAATGGCTTAGAAGATCCTGCGTGGTCTGGTCCCCTTTCACCTCATCTTGAACTGTTCTTCCCTTCCCTTACTCCATTCAGCCCCAATGTCTTCCTTGCTATTCCTTGAACACATCAAACATACGCTGACTTTAGGTTCTCTGCATCAGCTGCTTCCTCAGCCTAAAAGGCTCTCTCTCCCTCCACACAGCTAAAGGACTTGCTCCCGTGCTTCCTTCCGGATTCTGATTAGTGAGGCCTTCCTTGACAACCGAACATAGACTAGTACCCCTTCTCTGCTGCCCACCCCTCTCTAATACCTTTAATCTGCTTTATTTTTTCCCAAGGTACTTATTATTGCTTGGCATACTATATGTTTGTTTCTTATTTGCATTACCTAACTAGAATGTTAACTCCAAGAAAACAGACTGTTTTGTTCCTTGCTCATTCCCCAGCAATAGAACACAGAATAGTAGATTAATCAATAAGTATCAATAAATATCGATCTACCTAATGAATGAATAAATCTTGCACTAGAGTTTCTTATCCCAAACTAGAAGCAGATTCATCTTCCTTCAAACTGCATACCGTTTTTATTTTTCTTATGATAAATCATATCCTTGTACTAATAATCATTTTTTATTTATCTTAGCATCCTGTAAATATCAAGAACCATATCTTATTCCTCTTTGTATCCCCCACATCTAGCATCATTTCTTTCTTTTAAGAGGTACTCCGTATTTGTTGGGCTGAATTTGAAGTCATACTGAAAGATACTTCTTTTTTTTTTTTGAGACAGAGTCTCACCCTGTCGCTGACTAGAGTGCAGTGGCACGATCTCGGCTCACTACAACTTCTGCCTCCAGGGTTCAAGCGATTCCCCTGCCTCAATCTCCCGAGTAGCTGGGATTACAGGCGCATGCCACCACGCCCGCCTAATTTTGTATTTTCAGTAGAGACAGGGTTTCACCCCGTTGGCCAGGCTGGTCTCGAACTCCTGACCTCAGGTGATCCACCCACCTCAGCCTCCCAAAATGCTGGGATAACAGGCATGAGAAAGATACTTCTATAATACACCTGGATCTGTTGTGCTATGCCTTAGCACATGGCCCAGTACCAATTCTTAAATTGCTAAAAAATGTTCCGCTTTCATAACAAGCCACCAAATTTAATACAAGTGAGATAGAAGAGAGCGTGTAACGTGGCTCAGAGATGCCTAACATCCATTTTGTCCTGATATGGAAACCATAAAAACATTCTGAATGATGTCAACAAATCAAAAGATTTTCAGAGGATACTGAAAACTACTTGGCAGAAAGCCGCCTCAGCTTGACCCACTTATGAATTCTACAGAAAGAAAAGCCAGAGAGCAAATGCTTCACTCTTATCTTCATAAAGAAATAAATAACCAGAAACAAACATGAAGATTTTTTTTCCTAAAAAAACAAATTCCAGTACCACTACTACAATTAATATCCACTTGACCCAAAACTTCTGTACAACTCATTAACTGGTATTTTTAACAAAAAGCTTAAATCACCAAGGAAAGATTAAATTATCATCAACATGTTTAAAAAACTTAATATGCCTTGAGTTTTAAACTTTCATCAAGTCAGTTAAAATTAAAGTCTCATACTAAAGGAGTTAAACCTTCACTATTAAGAAAAGTCAACTGTACATAGTAATTTATTCTCCAAGACTTGTGGACAAGCAGAATTTTGCTTTTCAGTCAAATTCTGTGACAACTGATAATCCATAATTATAGTAATCAAAATAGTTAATAGGCTAGAACTCTCTTTTACTAAGCAAAAGAAGTGACAGCATTAAAAATAAATGATACAGTAAAAATAATGTCCCGCCTTCTACGGTGTCAGCTCACCTGAGGTATAAGTCTATCCAAGTACTCAACTCGATTGCCATGAGAAGGGTGTGTAGATAACCATTCTGGCATCTTGGGTTGGCCATGCAGGCTATCAACGAACTCCATTTGCTGCCAAAACACTGAACTGGCTCTTATGTCTGCACAAGCCTAAAACCAAAATTAGTAAAACCACACAATGAGCTCAGTTTTGAGGATTTTTTAAAAACTACTACTTTATTTTTTTTTAATTCTATTATAATTATACTTTAAGTTTTAGGGTACATGTGCACAACGTGCAGGTTTGTTACATACGTATACATGTGCCATGTTGGTGTGCTGTACCCATTAACTCGTCATTTAGCATTAGTTATATCTCCTAACAACTTTATGTCACTACATGCTTTAAAGTCATTTTCTATCATCACTTTAATAAAAGTAGAACATGCCCATTGCTTAGAAAAAGACCCACCTCAAACAACATGGTATCACAGTACTGAAATAACAGAATGCCTGCCCTTCCCATATACAACATTCACAATAACCCTGCTAACCAAAGATAGCCCACTATTTTCAGTATGATGGATATTAAGAACATGTATTAAGGGTAAAATCTTTTACACAAATTAAAAATTCTGTTTTCATAAAGTTTTAAAATATAATGTTATTAAACTGTATTAAAGAAACTTTACTTCTATGCCACTAGAACAATCAGAAAAAAACTTCAAATAAACATAAAGAGATGACATGTTTATTATGCACATCAATTTACCCAATTTTCTCAATGTATATGGACAATATATTTAATTCATATACCTTATAAAACACAATACCTTATAAAAGTACAATATAAAAGTACATTAGTACTTTTTAAAAGAATATATGTAGATCTTGTGTATGTACAATTCCATCATACACTCATATACATACTCATACGTATATACTTGTATATGCACAGAACATATCTGAGAAGCTATTTAAGAAGCTGTTAACTACCCTAAGAATGTACCTGAGGTATCTGATAGTGGAGAGGGAGCAACACTTTTATTTCTGAACTATATTAAAATACATTATTTTATAATTAAAATTATTTTTAAATCCTCCATAAGGTGGATTATTAACAAATATTTTATTAATTTGTTCAATTTATTCACATTTCTTAACTTATTCTTTCTATAATAAGTAACTGGAAAACAAGTGGTTATATTTCCCAATGATTTTATTTTTGATTAAAACTAAGAAAAAATATATATACTATACTGACTAAAATGTACTCTCAAAAAGATTTATAATAGTGTAATTGTGAAACCCCAAAAGGCAAATATATTAATAGAACACTGCATGCTAGTCAACAACCATGCTACATCATTTCTTAACAAATACCATTAAAGCATTTCCAAATGTTAGCAAAATAAAAAATTTTAAATTCAAGTAAATCTTATTCAATATTTAAAGAAATATAATTCCTTAAGACCTCTGAGTATTCTAAGTTGAAAAGAATTCAAGGTACTTTATACACTACTGCACAGATATGGATATACATGTTTATATGTATATAAACAGGAATATACAAGATAAATGTATATAACAAACATAAATATTATTCATGTTTATACACATATAAATACATATCTATATATGCAAGATGTGTGTGTGCTTATGTGTAAAATATGTATGTAACATATGTATCTATAAAGAAATAATTATTTGATGCTGAATTAGAAACACCCAGAGGACTATGCCCCTCAATAATAGGTAATCACATTCACAATAAAAATACAGGCTGAGATTAACAAGTATTCTTCTCAAATAATTCATAAAAATATAAAATGACTTGAAAGAATTCTAACACAAACAAAAAACCCCTCTGAAAACTGGAAGATAAACATTTGAATGGACTACAAATTCACGAATTATCTAACATGAAGTTTGTCTGCTACACAAACCAAAGGCATACTTATCTAATTTTTTTAGCCTAAAACTGTTAATCAAAAGACAAAATATTTCCCTATTCAATCTCTAAGTAACACAGCTGAAGGGAATCTTTAAAGCAATATTTGATATGCAGAAATAGAAAAAGAAATTAATTATCCCTACAGACTAGAAAGTATTCCAAGCTAAAAGTATTAAAAGGGGACTTGAGATATCTACTTTAATGTTAAGATAAGAGTGTTGAGTTTGTCTGTACTTCTCAAACCCAGTTCAAAGAGCCACTAAAGTCAGATAATTTTGTTTCCAAAATGAGTATTTTATTTACATTTTTCCAATTTAGGAAAAATAAGTAACAGGTTGACATCAGCAAGATGGAAGAATAGGACGCCCTAAACCCTCCTTCCCCACATGAACACACTGATTCAACGATAATATACGAATTCCCTTTGTGAGAAATCCTGAAACTAGGTGCAATGCTTCTGCACCTGCACAAGTACGAAATGAACAACATCAAACCTGGTAGAAGACTGGAGACACCCTCTTGCCATAATCTGCGAGAGCAATTATGTACCCCCAATACAGCACCATATGATCATAAGAACACCTGCAGCTCCCCACCACTCCTTGGGGAAGGAAAAACTTGGCTTGTGTATCTAACATTCCAACTTTTCTAAGAGCTGCCCTAGGAACTGGCTTCTGTCTTGCCAGCCTTGTAGCACTGATGGAATCTAAAACGCCCTAGATATCTAGGGGCCAGTGATAATGTGACAGAAGTTTGAACAAGCACACAAGCAGTTGCCATGACCACTCCCTGAAGCTCAGCATGAAATGAGTTGGAGAGAAACTCCAGAGCCCAGCTTCTCCTGGGGCAGGGCTCGGGAAAGAGGTAGATCACGTGTCCAACATTCTAACATTTCTGAGGGCTGTCCAAGGGACTGGCTTCTGTCTCATCTGTCTTGTAGCACTGATAGGACCCAGCATATGGACCAGATGGACCAGACAGGACCCTAGACACCTAGGCACCACTAAGAACAAAGACAGCACTTTGGACTAGCATGAAGGTTTGAGAGGTTCTGGGAATCTCTGCTGTGCTGACTGGTGAAGATCTTCTCCTGTACAAAGACAGTCTGTAAAGGCTAAGAGGTTGCTGTTTTTTCCTAATGTGTAGATATCAACAATAAGAGTGAAAAAAATAAACAGAGAAATATGTACCAAAGGATGAAGATAAATCTTCAGAAACTGACCCTAATGAAAGAGAAATATATTACTTATCTAACAAGAGAATTCAAAATAACCATCATAAAGACACTCAAAGAGGTCAGAACAATGTACGAACAAAGTGAGAATTTCAACAAAGACACAGAAAATGTAAAAAAGTACTAAACAGAAATTCTGAAGCACACTCCTAAACAACATACTCCTGAACAGCCTATGGGTCAAGGAAAAAAAAACCAAAAAGAAAATGATTTTGAGACAAATGAAAATGAAAACACAATATAACAAAACTGATGGGATACAGCAAAGGCAGTTCTAAGAGGATGGTTTATAATGATAAACACCTACATTAAAAAAAAAAAGAAGAAAGCAAGCAAATAAACTAACTTTATACCTGTAAGATCTACCAAAAAAGAAAAAAAAAAAAGGACTAAGCCCAAAGTTTACAGAAGGAGGGAAATAATAAAGATTAGAGCATAAATAAAGAAAACAGAGAATAAAAAAATAGAAAAAAATTAAAACTAAGAGCTTTTTGGGGAAAGATTTACAAAACTGACAAGTCGTTAGAGTAAGAAAAAAAAAGACTTAAGTGAACAAAATCAGAAACAAAAGAGGACACATTACAGCATACCATTGTAACTGATACCATACAAAGGATCATAAGAGACTACTCTGAACAATTATATGCCCACAAACTGGATAACCTAGAAGAAATGGATAAACTCCAAGAAATATACAACCCACTAAGACTGAAAAAGAAATAGGAAATATGAACAAATCTATAACTAATGAGATTGAGTCAATTATAAAAAACCTCCCAACAAAGAAAAGCCCAGAACCAGATGACCTCACTGGTGAATGCCACCAAAAACATTTAAAGAATTAATGTCAATGACTCTCAAAGTCTTCCAAAAAATTGAGGAGGAGAAAACACTTCCAAACTCATTTTATGAGGCCAGCCATTACCCTGATACCTATGCCAAAGACACTACAAAAAAAAATTACGGGCCAATATCCCTGATGAACATAAATACAAAAATTCTTAACAAAATACTAGCAAGCCAAATTCAAGATCATATTAAAAGGATCACACCTCATGACCAAGGAGGATTTCTTCCTGGTAATCAAGAATGGTTCAACACACAAAAATCAATTAATGTGATATACCACATTAACAGAATAAAAAAACACATGATCATCTCAATAGATGCAGAAAAAGCACTTGACAAAATTAAACATCCTTTCATAATAAAAACTCTCAAACACTAGAAATAGAAAAAAATTATCTCGACATAATTATAGCTATATATGAAAAGCCCACAACTAGCATCACACTTCATGGTGAAAAACAAAAATTTTTTCCTCTAAGTCTAGGAACAAGGCAAGAATGACCAATCTTGCCACTTCTCTTCAATACAGCACTGGGAGTCCTAGCCAGGGCAATGAGGCAAGAGAAAGAAATAAAAGGCATTTAAATCAGAAAGAAAGAAGTAAAATGATTTGCAGATGATATGATCTTATAAGTAGAAAACTAAAGACTCCACACACACAAAAAAAAACCCTGCTAGAACTAATAAATAAATTCAGTAAAGTTAGTATACAAAAATCAGCATACAAAAGTCAGTTATGTTCTACACACTAACAACAAACTATCCAAACAGGAAATTAAGAAACAATTCCACTTACAGGAAAATTAAAAAGAATAAAATACTTATTAAACCAAACTAAGGAGGTGAAAGCCTTCTACACTAAAAAGTATCTAAAAAAAAACTGATGAAAGAAATTAAAGACAACTCAAATAAATGGAAAGACATCCCATGTTCATGGATTGTAAGACTTAATATCGTTAAAATATCCATACCACCCAAGGTGATCTACAGATTCAATGAGATCTCTATGAAAATCCCATTGGCACTTTTCTTATAGAAACAGAAAAAACGATCCTAAAATTCACATGGAACCACAACTAACCCCAAATCGCCAAAGCAATCTTGAAAAAGAGTAAGACTAGAGGCATCATGCTTCCTGATTTCAAAATATATTACAAAGCTACAGTAATTAAAACAGTATAGTATTAGCAGAAAGATAACCGTTAAATGAATGGAACAGAAGAGAGAGCCCAAAATTAAGCCCACACAAATACAGATCTTTGATGAGGGTACCAAAAATATACAATGGGAGGCCAGGTATGGTGGTTCATATCTGTGATCCCAGCAGTTTGGGAGGCTGAGGCACATGGATTGCTTGAGACCAGGAGTCCAAGACCAACCTGGGCAACATGGTGAAACCATCTCTACAAAAAATTAGGCAGGTGTGATGGTACACACCTGTGCACCAAGAGGCTGAGGTGGGAGGATCACCTGAGCCTGGGAAGTCGAGGCTAGAGTAAGCTGTGATCACATCACTGCACTCTAGCCTGGGTAACAGAGCAAGACCCTGTCTCAAAAACGAACACACACACACACACAAACCCCACAATGAGGAAAGAGCAGTCTCTTCAACAAATGGTGCTAGAAAAACTGAATATTCACATGCAAAAGAATGAAACTGGACCCTTATCTTACGCTACACACAAAAACCAACTAAAAATGGATTAAAGATTTAAACGTAAGACCTAAAACTATAAAACTCCTAGAAGAAAATATAAGGGAAAAGTTTCATGACTTTGGTCTTGGCAATGATTTTGTGAATATGACACCAAAAGCACGGGAAACAAAAGGCAAAAATAGACAGGTGGAACTACCAAAAAGCTCTGCACAGCTAAGGAAACAGAGTGAAAGGCAATCTACAGAATGGGAAAAACCATTTGTATACCAAATAACTGATAAACAGTTAATTTCTAAAATATATAAAGAATTTCTACAACTCAATAGCAAAAAACCCAATTTAAAAAATAGGCAAAGGATCTCAATAGACATTTCTTCAAAAAAGACATTCAAAAGTAGGTAACAAGTATTAGAAAAAATGTTCAATATCACTAATCATCAGGGCAATGCAAACTGGAATCACAATGAAATATTACCTTACACCTGTTAGGTTATCTATCATTGAAAAAAAGAGACATCTAAGTGTTGGCAAGGATGTGAAGAAACTGGAACTCTTGTACACTGTCAGTGAGAACATAAAATGGTGTGGACTTTATGAAAAACAATATGAAGATTACTCAAAAAATTTTTAAAAAGTACTATCATTATGATTCAGAAATCCTACTTCTGGATATTTATCCAAGAGTTGAAATCAGGATCTCAAAGGGATTTGCACTCCACATTCATTGCAGCATTATTCACAATAGCCAAGATGTGGAAACAACCTGAATGTTCATCAGCGAATGAACAGATTAAGAAAATGTGGTATAAACATACATCAAAATATTATTTGGCCTTAAAAAAGGAAATCCTGTCATATGCAACAATACGGATAAACCTTGAGGACATTAAGCTAAGTGAAATAAGCCAGTCACAAATGGACAAATACGAGACGATTCCACTTACATGTGGTATGTATCTAAAGTAGCAAGCTTGTAGAAGTAGAGAATAGAATAGTGTTTGTCAGGGAGTGGAAGTAGGAGGAAATGAGGAGTTGCTATTCAATGGATATAAAGTCTCAGTTCTGCAAAATGAATAAGATCTAGAGATCTGATATACAGCATGTGCCTATAGTTAAGTATGTGTTGTAAAATTATAAATTTAAGAGGGTAGATCTCATGTTAAATGTACTTACTAAAAAAGAGAAAAAAAGTAACGATAGACCAAAATAAAGGCATTTTTAAAATAAATACTCAGTTTATCACAAGTCTAATTCTTTTGCTTCAAGAAAAGTATTATAGAAAACTAAGAACTTATTAAGCAACTGATATGGTTTGGCTGTGTCCCCACCCAAATCTCGTCAACAACTGTCATCCAAACTGTAATCCCCATGTGTCGAGGGAGGGACTTGGTAGGAGGTGACTGGATCATGACAGCAGTTCCCCCATGCTGTTCTCGTGATACTGAGTGAGTTCTCATGGGATCTGATGGTTTTAAAAGGCAGTTTTCCCTGCTCTTACACACTCTTCCTCTCTTCTGCTATGTAAGACATACCTGCTTCCCCTTCCACCATGATTATAAGTTTCCTGAGGCCTCCCCAGCCATGGAGAACTGTGAGTCAATTAAACCTCTTTCCTTTATAAATTACCCAGTCTTGGGTATTTCTTTACAGCACTGTGAAAATGGACTAATACAGCAACTAATTCAGTCTAACTCATTGCTTCAATAAAATTATTGAACTGAACTAAATAACTTATTAAGCAACTGTAAGTACACGAAGAAAGAATTAGACTCTAGGTAACCTTTCCTTCTTAAAAACAGAACTAATAATGGCTACCGCTGGCCAGAGAAACATAAGAAAATATGTGTCAGTGAAATACTTTGGTCCTAGAATATTTTTTGAGACTGTAAACTAAGATAATGGAGAGACTACAGGTTTTAGAATCAGAAATATCTGGGTTCAAAATACTGATTATTTTATTTATTAACAGTCACTTATATGACACCACATGCCAGGCATTGTTTTAAGTGTATTACAAATATTAACACATTATATTAACTCATTTAATCCTCATAACAACTTCATGTGGTAAGTACTGTTATGACCCTCACTTTACAGATTAGATGAAGAAACCAAGATCCATGGTGACTACATAACTTGACAAAGCTCAAACAGCTAGTAAGTGACAGAGCCATAATTTGAACACAAGTAGTCTGGTGACAGAGTTTTTGCCCCTGGGTCAATAATTTAGTCTCTAGGAGTCTCAGATGCATCTGTAAAACTAAATTAAAGCAGTGAATTGTCAAGTTAAAATGTGATAATTCTTGCAAAGCAGCCATTCCAGGACTCAGAACATAGTGGACACTATTTCTACCTTCCTTTCCCCTGGTGAGCAACTGGAGGCCTATGGTAATTGCAAAATGCTATGTTTGGTCCTAAGTGATGATGTCATGAATTTACAAGAAGGTTCTAGTACAATCCAGAGAATATAAATGTATATGAATATGCATTAAGGAACATATTGAGAAAGAATTTGCTACTATTAAATTATAAATTCAGTGGGATATGATATTCATAAAGAATACAGCAGTATAAAAATTGTTCTTATAATTTCACCATTTCCCAATGCCAAAACAATACTAGAGAAATATGTATAAATAGATCTAGACCAAGTAAAAGCCTAACTGTACCGTTACCTGTAGCCAACGTTTTCATTAGAAATGCAAAGATGAAAAGTATCTCTGAATTTTGCTGTCTGTATTCACTAGACACTCCAACAAAGCTCCTGTTAGCCATCACCCCCTTCCAAAGGTAAATCCTGACACTGAATGAATCTGAATCTTTTTTTAGGAAACCATTAACACCCTACACTTGTCCCAGTCATTGTAGCATCCTCTCCTGTATTCCACATAGACATGTGATAGGTAAAATAATCATCTGAGACAATACTACAAAGGATTGTGGCAGGGGGAGCTGGGCTCCTACAGCTAGAAAAATACACTGAGGCTGTTATAAGATGTAAAGGGACCAAAACAGATATAAAAATGATCATTATTTTAGAAGCAATACTGCAGAAAACCAAAATTGTTTCCAGCAGGCAAATATAAGATGGAAAGTTCCCTTTCAGAAATGAATGTACCTCCACTTTGGGAGAGGGAAACCTTACTGTCTATGAGAGCTTTGCCAAGTTACTTAACTCCTCCATCCCTCAGGTTTACCTATACCTCACAGGGTTGTTATGAAGATCAAAAGAATAAATACATGTAATACACTCAGGACAGTGCCCAGCACATTAAAAATGTTATTGATTATTATACACTACAATCATCATTGTCATCATCTACCAGAAACTAGTTCATTTCAGTCTCACATACCTCCACAGGTTCATCATTTTCCAATATTGCTGATGGCATCACTTCTTAAAGCTCATTTTATTTTGTAACCCACTTATTCTCTAAACAACATTTTTCCAGGAAATAATTTAAAATTGCTCTTTTCCAACTAAATGCAACATAATCTTGAGATAATTTCAGCTAAGCCATTCTCAGCATTTGCCAATCCCTCACACCAAGAGAAAACTTATCAAAAATACTTCATGTGCTCCAACATAAAAATGAAAGACATATGTTGGTCATTTAATCTTAATTTTTTGCTCAATTTTCTGCATCTTTTGATTGCCAGCAGGTCATTTCACCAATCAATATAATAAATTAAGTTTTAATAAATTTTCATGTTACTTTTTTCCCTCTATCTTAGGTAAAGTTTTATCATAAGACTCAACAGCTGAAATCATAGCAATGAAAAATCAGATGAATACACACAAGCCTGTCTCATTTTTCTGGGTGATAAAATTAAGTTCCAAATAATGTATGCATTATGAAAGTTACTTTACAACATACCTATTAAATAAGATGGTCTCCTTACTTACTGATTCTTTTCTTTCTTAAAAGAATCATTAAGCAAAGAACCTAAAACAGTAACCCAAATAAAACGCAAAGATACTTTGCTGTGATGAAAGCTCAGAATACTAACCTGAAAAATAAGAACTAAGGGTCTTCCTACTAACTAGGTATAGGTTATTAGATAAATCACTTTACATCTTTAGACTCTGGTTTTCTTATCTGTAAAATGAGAAGGTAGATTAAATTAGCTCCAATTTTCTTTCCTGCTCTAAAAGTCTATGATTCTACAAGGTACTATTTTAAATAAAGTTTAGAATTTGAAATTTTCTCATTTCTGTGATGAAAAATAGATTTTGCTTATTACCTAATGCCCTCACTAGATGGTGCTATTGGCACAGTTATCTCAGGTTACTTGAGGAAACTAGCAGGCCACGTTTCCCAAAAGGGCCACTTAACAGGCTTTGGGGATTACTCCCAGTGAGTGCTTTCCAGGCCACTATAGGATATTTATTATCCCCTTTTCCCTCACATTAAACATCAATAATTCCCCCCACTTCCCCAATAACTATGACAATCAAAAACAATCATACACCATGTCATCCTAGAAGGCTAGCCCAGTTCAGAACCACTAAAAGAATATCAGTTTTCTTTTCCAAACTTAAGAAACTGTTACGAAAAAATTAAAACTGATAGTTTAGTTGCTTGTGAAATTTTTAAAAAGTCATTTCTATAATGACTGCAAAGTGTCAAAAGCTCTTTACAGTGACAAATGAATATTCATACCCCAAAAGATCAAATACTTAACAGGACCTCTTTTGTCAGCTGAAGACTGAACAGCTTGTTATTCTATGCTTAATTTACATGTTGGTCTTACCAGTGATTATTAATTCTATATTAATCATTCTGATAATTTATATAACGACAAATGCCTTCCAAATGAAAAATTAAAAGAACTCCTATAAAAACATAAATTTGCACAATAAAATCACTCATAGCCAGTAGCAGAGGAGCAGCAGAGAACCCTAGGGAAAGTGGGCTGCCTACTTTGAAAGAGGCTTCATGAGTAACATCGTTTTTGTGAATTTTGCACGTTGAAACCTCATAAATCCAATGGGACTGCATATGACCAATAGAACCATCTCTCAGAAATAGTTCCCAGTAACCAAGCTCACAAGATTGACATAAAATCAGAATGCCAACTTCTTAATTTACAGAGATAACTACAGCTGCCCAAACCAGCAAGAGCACATGCATCTATGTCCTTGGGTCAGGACTTTCTCTCCCTTTTAGGCATGCTACAGAGGAAGCCAGGCTGTAATCAGAAGGTTGCCTAGGAAGGAGAGAATTAGGAAAAGGAGGATTATGTTGACATGATTTGAATGCTACAATGGCAAGAAGTCAAGGGAGTCTGATGCATCAAGGTCCAAAAAAAGGATACAAGCCACAAATAAGAATCAAGTCCAGGATACCCAAAATAACTCTTTGATGGAAGTACTATCATGATTCTCACTAGTCAGACTACAAAACAGATTTGAAGAGGTTAAGTGATTTGCTACAGTCATGTGGAGGAGACAAGAGCTCAAACACACATCTGGACTACTGAACCCAAAGTCCTGACCCCTATGCTAGACAAGGTGTAAAATCCTTAAAATTGCTAATAAAGAAGTTTCTGCCTATCCTTCAGTTTTATCTGTTGCCATTGGTGCTCTTGAATTCTGTTGACATTTTAACCACAACAAATTTTCAATTCCTGGAATAAGCCATTGTTTCTCTTGCCTTTGAACACACCATGCCAAACACTACACCTATCAACATCTTCATCAGGATAATTACTATTTATCTTTCAGATCTCCATTTTATCTATTTCTTTCTCAGTCTAATCCCAAGACTAAGTTTTCCTATGTAATTTGATGTAACTTGAGAGATCCCTCAAGTTACATCTCTGCTACATTCTCCCATGGAATGAATGTTTCCTGTATCTCCAATTCATAATACTTCAAACTTTGTTAAAATTATTTATTAAATTTCTGTCTCTTGAATTCTAATGTCATGAAGATATTATGTATCCCTATAATCTGGAAGTTAATTACATTCAATTAATAAATGAAAATCATCATAATGGATCAGAGAAGAGCTAGCACCTAGGTCTGTAAGATCAAACTGTCTTCTGATTGTATTAATGTTAAATGTCAATCCAAAGTAGGGGATTGGTCAGGTGAGAAAGGGAAAAGTCTGGAGGAAAATTCTGGTCAATGTCTTCTTAAAGCCTTATCTTAAGAAAGTGAGTATCAGGCCGGGCACAGTGGCTCACACCTGTAATCCCAGCACTTTAGGAGGCCAAAGTGGGTGGGTCACCTGAGGTTGGGAGTTCGAGACCAGCCTGCCCAACATGGAGAAACCCCGTCTCAACTAAAAATACAAAATTAGCTAGGCATGGTGGCACATGCCTGTAATCCCAGCTACTCAGGAGGCTGAGGCAGGAGAATCGCTTGAACACAGGAGGTGGTGGTTGCTGTGAGCTGAGATCGCGCCATTGCACTCCAGCCTGGGCAACAAAAGTGAAATTCTGTCAGAAAGAAAAGAGGAGAGGGGAGAGGGGAGAGGGGAGAGGGGAGAGGGGAGAGGGGAGAGGGGAGAGGGGAGAGGGGAGAGGAGAGAGGAGAGGAGAAGAGAAGAGAAGAGAAGAGAAGAGAAGAGAAGAGAAGAGAAGAGAAGAGAAGAGAAGAGAAGAGAAGAGAAGGGAAGGGAAGAGAAGAGAAGGGAAGAAAAGAAAAGAAAAAAGAAAAGAGAATATCATCATAGCTTACTGGATCTGTTTCTTACTTGTGGCAGGGTGGAGAATGGAATGGAGGGGAGTAGGACTGGAGTCAATGAAAGCTATCATGAGCCTGCTACAGAAGTTTAGGTAAAAGATGCTAGTACTGGAGATGGGAACATACTGAGATATATTTTATAGATAGAACTGCCAGGACTTGGTGAAAAAATTAAGAGTAAATGATAAAGAACGAATATCTTTATCTATAAACCCTGGAGGACTCCAGGGTTTTTTTTCCAAAAGCAACTGAATAGAGGGTAGTATATTCATTGGGAAAAGGGAGACCAGAAGAAAAACACATGTAGGGAGAAATTAAGAATTTAATATTGAACATACTGGGTTTGAGATAATGTATCTGTGAAATAAAGAAGAGGAGATAGCAGACAGTCCTTTTAAGATAAATGATTAAAAGACACGAGCTCTAAGAATTTTAATTATATTAAGTGTATGAGATAGGTCCAATACTGTTCCTATCCTACAGATGAGAAAAGTTGAGGCACAAAAAGGATAAATAACTTGATCATAATCACACAGCTAGTACTCTCTCTGGGAAAGCAGATTCTCAAACTTGGCAGTATGGTTCCAGAGTTCATGCATTATCTCTACACTTATTGCTCGCTTCTTTGGCAATTGATTGATTACCCCACACTGCAGAGACCCCAGAAAGGTTTAGTATTTGACTTCCAAGAAAGAAAGGTTGAGGTATAAGGGTCATAACAGAGAATTTTTAAAAGTCTCCACAATGAATGGGAAAACCCTACTCCCTTTTCCACTGCCAATCCTCAAACACTGACAAACCAGTTTACTTGTTTTTTATTTTTGTGGGCACTTGGTAGGTTATATATTTAGGGGTTACATGAGATATTTTGATAGAGGCATGAAATGTATAGTAATCACATCAGGGTAAATGGGGTACATCCAACAGCCAGTTTTTACAGGATTCATCTGCAGACACGTGAATGACCACAGAGGAAAGGCCAATATATATTCTATGGGAAGCTTCCCCAAAGAAAGAGCTAGATCGCTGTCCTACAATCTTACAGTAGAGCTCATCATCCCAGCCTATGCAAACTCACCTCAGGCTCTGAATGAGTGAAGAGATCTGCTATGCTCTAAGTGACCACTTAGCACAGAGAATACCTCTGATGGAAAAAAAAAATATATCATTCAGAGCCAACAGAACTGTTTATATGAAACATCCAGCATTCAATCAAAAATAAGCAACGATGCCAACAAACAAGACCAAAGCCAAAAACAGACAACAGAAACGGACCCAGCTATAATACAGAGATTAGAGTTAAGAAACATGAATTTTTAAAAAAATATATGATTAACATATTCAAGAAAATATAAACAAAGAAACATATGACAAAATGGAGAATTTCACCAGAGAAGTGAAATTTATAAAAGAGCATCAAAGGGATATTCTGGAATGAAAAGACAAAGTAACTGAAATTTAAAACTCAAATACGAATTTAATGTAGAACAAATACAGCTAAAAATAAGATTAATGAACTTCAAGATAGGTAGTGGAAAACACATTCTGATACATGGACAGTCAGAGGTTAAGTGATTAGCCTATTGCATGTTCTCACTCATAAGGGGGAGCTAAACATTGACTACACATGGACACAAAGATGGGAACAACAGACACTGGCAACTACCAGAGGGAAGGGGGAAGGAGGGGAGCAAGGGTTGAAAAACCACCTTTTGGGTACCATGCTCACTACCTCGGGGAGAGGATCATTTGTACACCAAATCTTAGCAACGTGCAATTTACCCACGTAACAGACCTGCACGTGTACCCTGGAACCTAAACGTTGAAAAAAATAAAAAATAAAAGAGCAAGCCACAGAATGAAAGAAAACACTTGCAAGACACATATCTGACAAAGAACTTGCACCTAGCACTTATGTGAAAAACTCCTACAACTCAAGAATAAGAACACAAACTTCCTTGCCCAATTTGAAAATGGGAAAAATATCTGAGAAGATAATTCACAAAGGAATATAAATGAAGTGCCAATAGACACATAAAAATGTTCCACATTATATAAATAATTACAAATAAGAAATGCAAATTAAACAAATAGACTAACTTTTCCCCAAAAAAGGGCAAAGATAAAAACAACAGCAATGTTCTGTTTACAAGGGCTACACACACAAGAACACAGGAGGTTTGAAAATCAGAATATTAAAGATTTACCATGCAAGCACTAACTGAAAGAAAGCTGAAATAACAATACTAAAAGGAAAAAGTGGACATTAGGCAAGAAGTATTACTAGAGACAGTGATTTTATTGCAAGAAAAGGACCAATCCACTAGGAAAATCTAACAATCTAACAAGTATGTATATTAAAGATACTTTTAAGATGTACACGGCAAAAATTAATAGCCCTAAAAGGAAAAAAGAAAAATCTACAACCATAATGAAATATTACCAAACCTCTCTTGATAACTACAAAAAAAAGGAAAAAAAATCAGCAAGAATATAGAAGATCTGAAACAACAAAATTGACACACTTGGCAAAACTGACATCCACAGAACACCACCCGCAATGGCAGGATCCACTTTCAAGTGCACGTCATTTTGACAAAATTGATCACATCCTGAGCCACAAAGCAAGACCCAACCCTTTTCAAAGGATTCCAGTCATTCAGTATATTATCCAATCAGAGTGTAACTAAGCTAGAAATCGAAAACAAAAGGTAACTTTAAAATCATCAAATGTTCAAAAACTAAGCAATATACTTCTAAATAACCCATGGGTCAAAGAAGAAACCACAGCGAAAACAAGAATACATTTTAAACTGAAGAAAAAATAACATATCAACCCTTGCAACATGACAAGTAAAGATGCTCTCAGAGGAAAATGTACGGCCTTAAATGTATGTACTAGAAAAAAAAAAGAGTTTAAAATAAATGATAGTAGTATTCATCTTAAGTTAGGGAAAGAACCACATATGAAACCCAAAAAATGAATGCAGAATAAAATAATGAAAAAAAATGGTAACTGACATAACAGAAAACAATTATATAATAGAGACAATAAGCAAACCCAAAAGATGGTTTTGAAAAGATTGATGAAAGTGATAAAATCTAGCAAAAAAAAGACAAGACAAAGAGCACCAATATTAACAAAGGGGACATTTAAAAGATACATGTAAAATAACAGGTATCCTTCAGACATTAAAATATAATAAGAGTATATTAAAACAACTTCATGCCAATGATTTTGAAAATTAAACAAAAATTCCTAGAAAAACTACAAAAACTGAAACAAGAAATAGAAAAATCTGAATAGTTCTATATCTATTAAAGAGACTGAATCCATAATTAAAGACAAACTCATGAAGAAATCTTCAGGCCCATATGGCTTTACCCAGGAATTCTCCAAACGTTTAAAAAATAAATATAGCTAATCTTACAAAAACTCTTCTGGAGAAGAGAAAATGAAGAACACTTCCCTGATCAATTTTATGAGGCCAGCATAACTTTGATTCCAAAACCTGACAGGACATTACAAGAAAAGAAAATTCTAGGCGACTATCTCCTTTGAACATAGGATAAACATTCTAAACTAAGCATTAAACCAATTCTAGCAATATATTAAGGGATAATTGACAAAATTAGGTATATTTCCCCAAAAATGCAACTTAACTTTAAAAAAAATTAATGTAATTTGCCCAATAACAGATTAAAGGAGAAAAATCATATAATCATCTCAATACAGGCAGAAAATGCAGGGGGAAGGAGAACATCAGGAAGAATAGCTAATGGATGCTGGGCTTAATACCTAGGTGATGAGTTGATCTGTGCAGCAAACCACTGTGACACATATTTATTAATGTAACAAACCTGCACATCTGCACATGTACCCTGGAACTTTAAAGTTGAAGAAAAAGTGCAGAAAATGCATTTGATAAAATTTAATATATATACATAATTTTTTTAAATCTTAGGATATTAGAAATGGAAGAGAAACTCTTTCATTTGATAAAAAAGTATCTATAAAAAGCTTACAACAAACATCATAATGGTGAAATACTGAATGCTTTCTTGCCCCTAAGATCAGGGAGATACAAAGTTGCCCATCACCAACTTTGTACTAAAGTTTTTGGCTATTGCAATAAAGCAAAAATTAAAAAGTACAGTTGACCCTTGAACAACATGGAGGTTAAGGGCACTGACCCCTCTGTGCAGTCAAAAATCCACATGTAACATTTGACTCCCCCAAAACCTAACTACTAATAGCCTACTGTTGACCTTGCCAGTAACACAGTAAATTAACATGTTTTGTATGTTATATGTATTATATACTGTATTCTTACAATAAAATAAGCTAGAGAAAGGAAAATGTTATTAAGAAAACCATAAGGAAGAGAAAATATATTTACTATTCATTAAGTGGAAGTGGATCATCATAAATGTCTCCATCCTTATCTTCACACTGAGTAGACTGAGAAGGAAGAGGAGAGTTGGTCTTGCAGTTCCAGGGGTGGCAGAGGTAGAACGGGAGACAGGAAAGGCAGGCATAATCAGTGTAACTTAATGGAGATACTTTGTAATTTCTGTTGTAAAATAAGTCAAAAGTAGTCTTGAATAATCAGAATCCTTCTGCTAGATTGTCTAATGTCAATTTGTTTTCTGGCACTACTATGTCTTTTCTACCTGGCACCATTTTGGAAGCACTCATCTCCATCAAGTCATCCACGGTTAATTCCCCTGATAAGGTGTTTCTATTAGCTCTTGAATTTCTCTAAGATCTGTATATTGAAACCCTTCACTCCCCACCTTTTTTGCCATATCCATAATCTTTTCATCATTTCCTTGACTGGCTCTGTGTGGTCACGCACAACATCTGGATAGTTTGCTTCATCAACAATTTATTATTTCAGGCTTGGTGGCTTTCATGGCTTTTTCTATAACAATGATGGAATCTTCAGTGGTGTAAACCTTACAGACTTTCATAATGTTCTATCGGGGTTCTCTTCAATAGCAGTAACAACCTTTCCCTAAAGTACCCTGTTGTACTGAGCCTTAAAGGTCCTTATGGCCCTCTGATCTGAGACTCAACTAGGAATGTTGTGTTTGGGGGCAAGTAGACCATTTGGACGCCTTCAGTGTTGAACTCATGGGGTTCCAGGTGACCAGAGGAATTGAGAATGTAAAAAGAACTGGCAGTCCTGGCCGGGCGCAGTGGCTCACACCTGTAATCCCAGCACTTTGGGAGGCCAAGGAGGGCGGATCACGAGGTCAGGAGATCGAGACCATCCTGGCTAACACGGTGAAACCCCATCTCTACTAAAAACACAAAAAATTAGCCGGGCATGGTGGTGGGTGCCTGTAATTCCAGCTACTCGGGAGGCTGAGGCAGGAGAATGGTGTGAAGCTGGGAGGCAGAGCTTGCAGTGAGCCGAGATCACACCACTGCACTCCAGCCTGGGTGACAGAGCGAGACTCCATCTCAAAAAAAGAAAAAAAGAACTGGCAGCCTTTACTGGCAAGATAATTCTTAACTTTAGGAACAAAGCATGGATGGAACCAATCCAGAAAAAGCGTTCTCATTGTGTAGCAGGCCTTTTTGCTTTACAACCAAAAGACTGGCAGCTGGTATTATCTTTTTCCTTAGAGGCTCAGGGGTTACCAGCTTTATAGATAAGGAAAGTACTTACAAATCCAACTCCATTTCCGCAAAACAGTAGAGTTAGCATATCCCTTCTGCCTTAAATCTTGATGCTCATTAATAAATGTCCTTTATGGCATTATCTTTTTTCCAGAATAGCACACTTTCATCTGCATTAAAAACCTGTTCCGGCAGCTATTCTTTCTCCTTAACGATTTTCTTAAAGCATCTGGGAATGCATCTGCTGCCTCTTGGTCAGCAGAAGCTGCTTCTCCTGTTATCTTGACATTTTTAAGCCAAATCTCTAAAACTATCAAACCATCCTTCGCTGGCATTAAATTCTCCAGCTTTAGATCTTTCATCTTCCTTTTAAGTTGTAATATAATGACTTTGCTTTTTCTTGAATCATATTAGAGTCTATAGATAGGCCTTTCTTATGGCAATCCTGCACCCACATAAAAGGTGCATCTTCTATACAAGATAAAAGTCTTTTGCAAAAAGTGCAAGGTTTTCATGCTTGCTGGTAGAGTTGCAGCTATGACTTCACAAATTTTCTTTTCCTTTTTTCAACGGTCCTTATTCTGGATTCGTTTATGTTGAAATGGCAGGCAACCACAGCTGCAGACCTCAATCTACAGTATATATCAAGCAACTCAACTTTTTCTTGTAATATCATGAGTTTACTTCCTGGGAACATTTCCAGTATCACTAGCAGCAACTCATATGGGTCTCATGGTATTACTCAAGGTGTTTACAGTATTGCACTAAACACAATGAAAAATATGCAAGAACTGCAAGAGACCATTTACTAAGATACTCAATTTACTGGAGAGAAAGCTGCTCACATGGAGATGATTAGTGTCTTCTGGTGTTTTAAGTAGATATTCACAATATTTGAGATCACTGCATTAGCAACAGGAAGTGAATACAAAACTATAAGAGTAGTACCATAGGTACCACAGTTAATTCTATGCAGTTATGATTTAATACTGCATCTTTCTGTTTGTTTACATTTCTCTCAACTGCAAATGGCACCATGTATGGTCTGTGTAGGCACACGTTTTGATAAATTTTCATAACCGATTTGTGTTTTATGGTAAAAAATTATAAAAGACTAATATCTACATGTATTTTATGCATTCATGACATATCCTTTTCTTAATTTTTTCAATATTTCTAAGCTACATGGTTCACCTGTGAGTTTTTTCAAATTGTTGCACATTTCCAAAAAACCTTCCAATATATTTATTGAAAAAAATCCTATGTATAAGTGGATCTACACAGCTCAAAAACATGCTGTTCAAGAGTCAACTGTATACAGATTGGAAAGGAAGAAATAAAGGTTGCTGGGTACAAGGTCAATTATAAAATCAATTGTATTTTTATATACAAGCAATTTACTTTAAAAATGACACTATTTATCATGACATCAAACACTTAGCAATAAATCTAACAAAAGATGTGTAATTCCTACATACAAAAAAATTTCAAAACATCGAGAAAAATTAAACATCTAAACAAACTGGAAAATATATCATATTTATGGATGGGAAGAATCAATACTACAGACACTAGTCAAGTGTCCCCAAATTCATGTATAAATGCAATGCAATTCCAATCAAAACCCCATGTGTTTTTCTATGTATGTATAATTTAATAAGCTATTTCTAAAATGTATATAGAAATGCAAAGATCCAAGAAGAGTCAAATCAATTCTGCAGAACAACACTGGAGGACAGAAGCTTCAGGTATCAACACTTACTACAAAGTTATAGTGATAATATGGTACTGGCTGAAACATAAACAAGCCAATGGAACAGAATAGTGTGTCTAGAAAGAGACCCCAGATATACTCCCACCTTTATGACAAAGAGACACTGAAGTCTGGTGAAAAAAAGGTGACTTTTTTCCATAAACAGTGCTGAGTCTATTAGCTATCCATAGGGGAAAAAAAAGATGTTGCCCTCTTCCTCATATTATATATTTTAAAAATAGTAAAGTTTATTAGAAATAAAGCAGGAATAACTTACTGAGATAAACAAAGATTTCCTAACCAGAACACAGAACACACTTAACATATAGGGAAAATCTGACAGACTGGAGTACATGAAAATTAGGAAATTCTTAATACAGCCAATCTGTGGCCCCCTTATGTGGGAACTTCTTAGTGCACGCAGTCTGATAATTCACTTAATCACATTTATTTAACATTCAAAGAACTGATTTTGCTTTTGTGAAGGAGTAATACCTTGATTTATGAAATTAAATCCATAAAACTTATGAGAGGTTCAAATAAAATGATTAATAGTTTTAATAACTACCAGAAACATAACAAAGGATCAATTAAAACTTGAATTTAATATGTGAAGTGGCATTGCTTTCACTCATTTTTTTAAAATGCAGTTTTACTTCTAATCTTAAATGCTACTAATAACACTCAGTTATCACAGGTGATTAAAAATAGCTGCCAGGTGCCCTGTTAAGTAGACAGGAACAAAGTCAACTTAAATAAAAGTAAAGGCCCAGAGCTGCTCTCTATGGCTAGCAAAAAAAAAAAAAAAAAGCCATCTGCTACAACAAAAATAACCTAAATGTCTGTTCGTCTACTGTTTATTTAAATGGTAGAAAATCAGTTTGCTTAGCCAAGATCATAGCTACAACAGGATCAACCTATCTTCAAGTGGGGGAAAACAACTACCTATCAACCTGTTTACTCAAAAAGCCTCCTTAGATCAGAGAAGCAAGGGGTAAAATATTGGAGTACTGGAGTAAAATAAAGAGATAGCATTAGCTTTCCAGAGGGACAAATGTTAAAAGGCCAGAGGGGATGACACATTACATAACCAAATGTTTTAAAATTTCAATTTGTATGTTTCATGTCTATGATCAAAAAATTTATACACGCAAAAAATTATTTCCAATCAAGAACTGACTTTCTTTTAATAGAACCTGATAATTACTATAATCTTATGGATTCTGTCTAAGGCATAATACAGCTTCAAATATAGAAGGGAATTGAGACTCTTCAGTTATACATTCTTTCAAGGTCCATAATCTTCAAATTTCTAGATTAACAGAAATTACATAAAGGGCTAATACAGTCCAACTCTCATTCTCTGCTTATGCCAAGCCTCATTAAAATAACACACGTTTATCTTTCAGCCTGGGAAGGGCATTATGTATTCTCAACTACTAAACACTTTACCTTTGCAGCAAGCAGTAGTCCAATTTTGTCAGCTTCGGCCTCCAATTTTCTGCTGTATGGTCTATTAAACATATACTAAGAAGAAATGACAGAAAAGCTCCATTAAGACAATTTATTTCACGAAAAAAGGAGTAACACAGAGAGATTTTTAAAAAACAGTTTCATGGAGTATCTAGGATAAAATTCCTATACTGTCTACTAACATTAAAATAACTCCATGATATAAAATATAAACACAGCCTTTATTTCCCTGATTAGAAATACTTTAAAAAATGATAAGGATATAAGTCATGCCTATAAATTTCTTGACAGTCTGTAGTATAAGGAATTTACTTCTATTTTTCCAATTATAGTCTCCACCTACTGAGTACAGGATTCACTAAGAAAGCTTATTGATGAAGGCTTTTTAATATGGTCAAGGAATATTTTGACCTTGAGTTTTAAAAGAAAATCAAGAAAACGTAGGCATATAATATCCAATGACACTACTAGACAATTTATTTCAGTAAAAAAATTAACCATATAGCAGAATGCTCTTTCTTTGATAAATTATCTTAATTTCCTTTTTCTTTTCTAAGTATTGATTAGTTGGGAAAATGAAATTTTCTTCTGACTTCAATAAAAAACACACATAGATACAGTAACTTTAATTTTCCTAATTACTTGTATTTATGTGAATGCTTTCCAGTTAAATTCTAATTTTCAGTAAGTACTAAAACTTTGTAGGAGATGAATCAATAGGCAGGACTTTTGAGAAAAGAGCTATTAATTGGGGAAGCAATCTTTCAAAGGTAGCCACATGTCTGTGATGGCCTGAAATAATATAATAAATCTGATATACAGTATGTGACCATTACAAATGACTTCCTTCCTTTTCAATCAGTCTGTTTTAGGTCAATGATGTATATCATATAATGCCTTCACTCCCCATGAGCAGGCTGCATGTGCCCCCGTCAAGTCTATTGATAACATAAGGATTTAAAACTGTGGCTTTAAAAAGAGAGAAACTTAAGTTCAAGTCCAAATACTGTTAACTTATTGTTAACCCTGAGCTAATTGTTTAACCCTGCTAAACCCAGTAGTATCATATGTAAAATGAAGCTAGTAACAGTTCCAAGCTCACAGAGCTGCAGAGGGGATTAAATGAACAAAAATAACAGCTCATATTTATTGAGCCCTGATTTGTGCCAGGTACTGTGCTAAGTGCTTTAAATTAATGATTCTAAACCTAGTGTGATTTTGTCCTCCAGGGACATTTACAAATGTTTGGAAATATTTATTACTGTCATAACTGAGAGGAGGGAGAGCTACTGACATCTAGGGAATGGGGGTCAGAAATGCTACTAAACATCCTACAGTGCACAGGACAACTCCCCCACAACAAAGAATTATCCAGTCCAAAGTGTGAGTAGTGCTGAGATTGAGAAATCCTGCTTTAAATGTGTCATTCGGTCCTCACAACAGATGAACCTCAGCAATTCCCACACCCTAATGACTTCACTATCAACATTCCTCTCTGCTCTCCAATCACAGTGAGCAACTTTCTAGAGAGAAACATCTCCTCGTCACCAAAATTATTGAGGGGCCTTGATTTAGGAAAAAATAATTCAAATAGAATCATTCCTACTTTATTTTCATTGACGAATTACAGTGAAGTGGCAGAATTTATCAAGTATTTCAAGAAAGAAATAGATAAATGTTATCTTTCTTATGACCAACTGTGCTGATTCCATTATAAAAAAAAGCAATCTATAGATAGATCAGGAAAATAACCACATTAATTCTTTTAATTTCCTGGCGGGTCAGTGACAGAAACAAAATTCAAAATATGAGATCCTACAACCTAAGGAATAACCAATCTTTTATTTTCTCTTTAAGAACCTTTACTTCAATATAAATGAAGCCAAATGACATGTTAATACTGAATAATAGACTTAGTTATCCAATCTCAAAAACAATTTGTCTCATAGAATTTTGCACATTAGATTTAAACAGCACCCAGATGGCACTCTGATGGGAACTCCACAAATCATTAAATAAACAAATAACAGATTGTTCCTAAATAACCAAACCTCCTGGGACAAGAGGAAATATTCAAAGAAAGATGTAAAACAAAAAAATTATGGTTAACAAAGTAGTTATAAAGATTGCAAGACCTACTTTCAGTATTACAGTGTTTTGGACAAAATGAGGCACTCAATACATTTTTGAGATGATTATTATACATAAGCACTAAAAACAAAAGTTAACAAACACCTAGTAAGACTTTCCTTTCAGCATTTTCAAAGCAATGATATTTTAACAGAGTGAAAAGCAAGGAAGGATGGCAAAGTAGCTTTAGCCAATTCTGTGCCCATTAAAGTTCAGAGGTTTTAACAGTGCCGCATTAAAACCCAAATACAGTTGGCTCTCTATATCTGTGGATTATGCACCTGGTAGATTCAACCAATTTGGATAGAAAATATCTACGAAAAAACAATTTAAAAAACTACAACTTAAAAATATATATAGTAAAATAACTATTTACATAGCATTTACATTGAATTACAAGTAATCTAGAGATGATTTAAAGTATATGAGAGGATGTGCATAGTTACATGCAAACACCATGCTTTTATTTTTATTTTTATTTTTTTTTGAGATGTAGTCTCACTCTGTCGCCCAGGCTGGAGTGCAGTGGCGCAATCTCGGCTCACAGCAAGCTCTGCCTCCTGGGTTCACGCCATTCTCCTGCCTCAGCCTCCCAAGTAGCTGAGACTACAGGCGCCCGCCACAACGCCAGGCTAATTTTTTTGTATTTTTAGTAGAGACAGGGTTTCACCACGTTAGCCAGGATGGTCTCAATCTCCTGACTTCGTGATCCACCCACCTTGGCCTCCCAAAGTGCTGAGATTACAGGCATGAGCCACGGCGCCCGGCCAATACCATGCCATTTTTTATCAAGGACTTGAGCATACTCAGATTTTGGTATCCACAAGAAGTCCTGTATACCAAGGGACAGCTGAATTTGGGAGTCATTCAGTTACTACGAAAGGAAGGGTCAGTGGCTGGGTTTTCTCTCTGTAAAACCAATAAATATATTTTCAAAAATTTTATTAGCCAAAAGTTGCCAAGCCCTTCTAACTCTCCATACCCATCATTTGAGAGATGTAGTATTCCTTAATTTAAATATTCATATATAAGAATATCCCCTAAAAACGAGAAAACATAAGACACTAAAAATTCGTACCCATATTTCATAGTAAAATGTAAAAACATCTCTGGATTTGCTGCTTTACAGTAGTATTAAAATATCTTCACCAGAGGCTATGATCAATTCAAGTTATTGTCTCAGACTTACCTCCTGCAATTTAGACTGTATCCACTGGCACAAAAGTGCCAAGCTATCTCGAGGACAAATGGCCCAAATCATTGTGAGGAAAATCATACCTAGGAAATCCAACAAATGAACCATGCCAGCCTTTTCTGCCTAAGAATAATCAAAATAATAAAAACTACATTTTATACATTGAGACAGTATATGCTTACATTTTCTAGTTCATCATGTGTTACAATTACCTGACCTTCTCCACCTAAGACTGAGAGTTCTCTTTTTCTTCTTTTGCTTATTCTTTCCGGGTCTGTTTTTCCCTTCCTTGGTTTATCTACTTATATACCTATTCATTCATTTAACTAGTATCTACTAAGCCACTTACTATTAGTCAGAGGATATAAACCTACAATTTCTTATATTAACAGGCATAATAATCTTGTGAAATAGCTACAATTATCCCTACATTTATAGATAATGAAACTGAGATAGAGAGAGGTTAAGAGTTGCCCAGATTTGCACAGCTATTACTAAAAGGACCAGAAATCAAACCCGGTCAGTTTTAGTTTTTAATATAGTTGCATCATTTTAAAAAATCAAGTAAATGTTTTATTTTACTAATATTTTTGGATAAAGACTAAACACTACCTAACATATGAAGCACTTAAAACAAGAAAAAATTCAGAAAAAGACTGGAAGTTTATTTTAAATAAAAGTATTCTGATCTTCAAGACCTAATATATGAAATATTATTCATTTATACAAGTTTGTAAATTTGTAAGTCTAGTATTTATCATGAAAGAATCAGGTTCTATGAATTTTTGTATTTACTTATATCAGTTACCAAAAAAGATTTTTCATAAAATAGTTGTTTTGAGTAGTAATATCTAAGTTTAATGAACTAGATTGTTCATGGTTTGCCATTAAAGGTGATTAGTAAATGTTAATGTTGTAATGCTGAAACTGATAAAATAGCAGTCATTACTTGAATGTATGAAAAATGACTGAAAACTAAAAACTGACTTAGAATATTGTCCCTTAACAAATATTGTACCCTCACAAAACATACTTTACCTCCTTATATTTGCCTCATTACTTTGCCTCAAAACACAAATGTGTGTTTTGAAAAACAATTATGGATTTATCTTTTTTTTTTTGAGACAGAGTCTTGCCCTGTTGCCCAAGCTGGAGTGCAGTGGCGAGGTCTCGACTCACTGCAACCTCCGCCTCCAGGTTCAAATGTTTCTCCTGCCTCAGCCTCCCGAGTACCTGTGATTACAGGTACCCACCACCATGCTCAGCTATTTTTTGTATTTTTAGCAGAGATGGAGTTTCACCATGTTGGCCAGGCTGGTCTTGAACTCCTGACCTCATGATCCACCCACCTCAGCCTCCCAAAGTGCTGGGATTACAGGGGTGAGCCACTGTGCCCAGCCCAATTATGAAATTATTTTAACATGAAAAAGTGAAACTCAAAATAAGGAAGTTGTTATAGAAGAGAAAGCCCTTGTTATTAAAGAATATAATTGCTATTATACAGTCTTAGAAAACTGGAAATACACACACAAAAACCTGTATTTGTAGAATAAAGAAAACATAAACGCCTAGATAAAATCAAAACTGAGACTCCCAAAAGAGAAAATATTGTGCTGACAATGTTTAAGATCTCTGCAAAAACATATTAATAACTATGTTCTATTTTTAAGGCTGCTGTTTGCTTTTTACACCTCATCTACTACTGTTCTTGCACTGATAGAGATGACAATACACTGAATATAAGGCACTGAACTAGATGCCTAAAAAACAAATGTACTGAATAGTAACACCTTTCAAATGCTAAAATGGCCAAAACTGATTTTGCAGTTGTGAAGCCATTACTTGAAAGATATTAGAGTGCATATAATAACACTGCTTAGACGTATTCTTGTGTATATTTGTTTAAGAAAAAAAGATTTTTTTTCTTACTTTTTTGTTTGAGACAGTGTCTCACTCTGTCACCCAGGCTAGAGTGCAGTGGTGCGATCATGGCTCACTGTAGCCTTGATCTCCCAGGCTCAAGCAATCCTCCTGCCTCAGGCTCCAGAACAGCTGGAACTACAGGTGTGAGCCACCATGCTCAGCTAATTTTTAAAATTTTTCTGTACAGACTGAGTCTATGTTGCCGAGGCCAGTCTCAAACTCCTGGGCTCAAGCAATACTCCTGCCTCAGCCTCTCAAAGTGCTGGGATTACAGGTATAAGCCACTGCACCCAGTCAAGAAAAATGTTTTTAAAATCTTCCTGTAACTCAAAAGAAATCAAGGAGATAATTACTTTCAGTGTTTCAGAAAAACAATTTAGCCCATCTCATCTTATTAATAGTCTAAGGAACAGGTAGAATTTGAGATTACTCTTAGAAGGATTAGAATCATTATCATTTCCATTTGAAGTTAATGTTACTTGTATTTCTGATTTAGCATTTCAGTCACTTCACTATGTACCTTTGCGTTTACAATTTAAAAAATACTTTCTCTAATGTAGACAAAAGAGCCATTTATATTTTTAAATGAATAACAATTTAAAAAATGTGTGAAACAGATGTGTTATTTTTCCTGGACTTATATCAAGATGAACAGACATGTATTCACAGGAGCATACATCAACTTGAATTCTATGATCTATAAGAAAAGCGCTGCTAAAAACCAGGTAACTGTAGTGAAAGGAAGAAACACTGGACTAACATACAGAAGACCCACGTTAAAGTCCCAGTTCGGTTACTTTGTCAGGTTAGTCATGTTACTGTTTTTCTAAACATTAGTTTTCTCTTATATAAAATAGTAATAATAAATACATACCTCATTGGGTATTAAAATTATGAATGGGAAGCCACATATACTAAAAAGCTCAGTAAACTGTAAAATGGCAAGGTATTGTTATTACTCTGTATTAATTACACATGACACATCATTCTAGACATTTTCAAAGATGCTCCAAGCTATCCTCTGAGAATGAATAAAAAAGAAAGATGATTTACCCACTTAAATAGTAATATCACTTCCCTACAATTAATTTTCTGACTAGATTACAAGTATATTAATAATTATAGAAAGTTTAAAATTTAATTTGAAATAATTAGGGGTTGAGAATAATTACGTTTTAGCAAAAGAGACAGGTGATAAAAATAGTATTTAAGAAAAATATTATTCAGTATCAAATACTAAAGACCATAAAAATTCTCAAAATTAGCCAATCACGTTTTTTTCAGGTAGCAGATTAAGGCAATTACCCAAAACTAAAAGTCTATCATTTTTAAAAAACCTGAAAAAAATCAGTTCTTTAAAAGATTTAACTTGTTAACTTCAAAGCAGTTTTTCCAAACCTGAACATTCATTTTAGGTACTTACAGCATGCCCAAGTACTGCATGTGCTATTTCATGGCCCAGAAGGAAAGAAAGTTGATGAATATCGGTTACACTATTTAAAAATCCAGTGAAAACAAACATTTGTCCATTCTGCACCACAAAGAAAATAATGTAAGCAATTAGAACATCATAAAAAATAAGGACAATAAATTTAACAATTACAATGCGTTTGAGAACATTTACTTACTGGAAGCACGAAGGCATTAATAATTGGGGAATCAACCACATGAATAACCCAATTGATCTGAGAGATCCCTGGAACATCTTTATTGCATTCAATTAGATGACAAAGCACTTCTTTAACAGCCAGGTATCGGGCATCTTTCTCAGTTAGCATATCATTTTTAAATTCTTCCATCCACTGAAAGATTAAAAATTACTTCTTATTTTAAAAGAGCACTACAAAATGCTTACTCTGCTTCATGGAAAGTTATATGGCTACTTATTATTGAACATTTTAAGTTTTAATTATATAAAAATCTGCATATATTAAGCACTGAAATTTCTCAAATCTGAATTATTCATGCAAAGACAATGTGGTTTCTTACAAAGGAATAAATTCTAATACTAAGTTTTTTTATGAATAGATTGACATCAAAATTTCATTCTTTTCGATTAAACTACAAACGAATACTTAAGTATTATTTCTACTTTCCTAAACATTTTAGAAAACACTGCCTAGGCCAGGGCAAGATGGCTCACGCCTGTAATCCCAGAACTAGGGGAGGCCAAGGCAGGAGGATCACCTCAGCTCAGAAGTTCAAGACCAGCCTGGGCAACATGGTGAAACCCCGTCTCTACCGAAAACACAAAAAATTAGCCAGGCGTGGTGGCATGCACCTGTGTTCCCAGCTACATGGGAGGCTGAAGTGGGAGGATCGCTTGAGTCTAGGAGGTGGAGGTTGCAGTGAGCTGAGATCTCGCCACTGCACTCCAACACCAACCTGGGTGACAGAGGGAGATCCCATCTCAAAAAGAAAAGAAAAGGAGAGCCTGGAGAACTTAAGATTTCATCTAAGTAAAATACAAAAGAAAATTAAATTCACAATGCATTGAACAGAAAAACACCCTATACCTAATAAGAAAGTTAAACTACCAAAATAGACATTTCATTAATTTTAAGGTGTTTTACTCACAGATTGAAAGGAAATTACTGAATTCTCAGAACTAATGAGCATTATCACTGTCTCTAAAAGATGCTGATTAAGACTAGCCACCACAGAAGATACTTTTTCTGAAGTTATATTCATGAGAGCTCTTTCAAGTGTACTGAGAAAATTAAAAATGTTCTGAAATATTACTTTAACTTTCATAAAGTGTATGCTTTTTTTCACTTAAGAATCAACAAGCGGCTGGGCATGGTGGCTCATGCCTGTAATCCCAGCACTTTAGGAGGTGGGCAGATCACGAGGTCAGGAGATCAAGACCATCCTGGCCAACACGGATGAAACCCCATCTCTACTAAAAATACAAAAATTGGCCAGGCGTGGTGGCGCACGCCTGTAGTCCCAGCTACTCGGGAGGCTGAGGCAGGAGAATAATTTGAACCTGTAAGGTGGAGGTTGCAGTGAGCCAAGATGGCACCACTGCAGTACAGCCTGGGTGACAGAGCAAGTCTCTGTCTCAAAAAAAAAAAAAAAAAAAAGATTCAGCCATGCCAAAGCTGTCAAGTGAGGCTACTGGACATGAATTCGAAAAATATTAATTGAGCCACAGGGCACATAACATGTGTATGTGCTATGAACTGGAGAGAAAATGACCTCTGTCCCTAAGAAACTCACTAGGGTACAAAATGTTTAACTACCTGAGTTACTATACTTTCCAAAGAGGTAAGACTTCTAAATTATAACTTAAATTTGGATTCAAAAAATATAATAAATTGCTAAAACTGATGTTTGGGAAAAAAATCTTATATTACTTGATTTTCAAGGTATAAGAATTCTGACTATAAATCTATTTATTCAATAAATATATACTAAGCTCTACTCTTACATACTGTGTTAGTATTTAAAACCATAAACAAAACAGGTAAGATCCCTGCCCCCATGAAGCTTAGTCTAACAAGAAAGACAATCAAAAAAATAATTATGCAAATAATTATGTTACTCTCATGAGTGCTTTGAAGGAAAAGTACAGTATGCAGAGAAAAAAAGCCTAGGAGACCTAACCCCAGTAAAGCCAAGCAATGGGCGCAACTACAAATGAGCTGGTTCATAATTCAGTCGGTATGAAGGATACCTCCTAGGGCCTGATCCAGTCACCCTGCCTAACCCAGTCTGGATAATCAAGGAAGGTTTTCCTGAGAAAAGTGACATTTAAGGTGAAATGTGCTGAGCAGGAGTTAGCTGGGTGAATGCTAGGAAAAGCAATGTAGGCAGTAGGAATACTAAGTGTGAAAGGTCTGAGGCCTTCGGGAAAAAAAAATGCTAATTTCATATCAAAGACTAAAATTAAAAAACAACATATCTTTCACATTTAAGATACTTTCCTACTTTGAGTGTTATATTAAGCAGTCTAATTAAAAACAACTCTTACTACTTACTGCTTCATATTCCAGTTCCGATAAAAGTCTGAACTGTTCTTTCCCCAATAATAGTAGCTTGCTCCTTCCTGTGATTGGACTTACTTCCAGGTGAGTAAAATAAAACACCACAAAGAGCAATCCAAAACTACTCAAACCAAGGAATAGCTTCCATTTATTCTTCCTTATATTTTCTTTAACTACTTCCTTCTTGTTAGGAGGAAGTGCCTGCCACCATTTCCTTATGCCCCTAAAGCAAAAAGAAAAATTCAAAGTTCTGAAAATCATTCCAGCACATATCACTAAAGCTCAAATGCATACACTAGAATTTTACGTCCTCAAATACCTGAATTTGTATGATGTATTTCGCTGAATACATCGCTTTTCCAATTAATAAAATTCTTAGCTAAATGATGAAAAAATAATCAATGATGTAAAGTTACAGTTAAAAAATTCTAATACTCATCGAAATTTTCTTCTTCAGCTATTTTAAGGATAAACACTAAATGAGATGCTAGTTTACTATAACTACCACTGGTTAATATTTATTACTATCTAGTACATGCAAAATTCTCTCTCTCTCTCTCTCTCTCTGTATATATATATATACCATCTCATTTAATCTTCATAATAACCCTGTTACAGAAGATAAAATTGTTAGGTAACTTGTCCATGGCCACTGAGGTAATAAAAGGAAAACCAAGCAATGAAGGCAATGACATTCCAGAGTCTGACCACTTAGCCACTTAATAGGGATAAATGCCTAAATAATTATGTAAGAGGTTACAGTACAATAAATCTATACCTGGAACCACTACTTTTCCCACTGCTCCTCAGACCTCCAACACAATTTGCCAGTGATTCCACAAGGTACAAGGGAAACTGCCTCAGCATTCATTTTGGAAATAAATAGTGCTCAGTAGCAGAAACTCCACTATCCTCTTTACAACGTGAAAAAGGAGAGATAACAAGATCCTAGGTATTCATAAGAAAGTGGGAGATTTTATAGATAACATCTGAGAAGGTCCAATTTCTACCAGGCAACAATACTCTCTGCCACTTAGCAGTGTTCAGAAACATTTTGACAACAAGCAATGTTTTCAATACTGGGACAAAAATTTTCCTTATGAGTTGATCTGTAAAATCACAACAAAAATTTACCATATATACATCATTCTCTTGACAAAAATTTATTTTACAAATTCTTAAAGTTCTCTTTGTGAAGTGACACACCCCAATGCCTTTACACAAAGTGTGTCCATTTAAAGGGACATAAATCAAACTATCGAGTATACTTATTTCCTATTTAAAACTTTACATGACATTATCCTTTATTTAAAATGTATGAAAGACATATTCTAAATGAAAAATTTTAGGTGATCAACAATAGTAACAAAAACAAGAAAGTTACAAATAAATAATTTAAAAGGATGAGGACATAGCAGAAATCAGAAAGAGCATCCGAAGAACCTGGGATGAGCGTATTACTTCAACCAATAGTCAATACAGCTGTATCGCTTTTGGGTGCCAACACCAAATCATGAAAAACACAATAAGTTACAAATAGAAGTTCTTGGTTTTTGATCAAAAGCAAACTGGTTTGGTTCATGTGGTAGTAAGAAGGCTAGAAGGGACTTCACAGTCATCAAACACAAGAAAGCTTTATGAAGAAACAGTGATTAGCTTTCTTCCATCTTCATAAAACAAACAAGAGAAAAAGGGTTAAAGCACTACAAGCTGTGAAAATATTATTATAAAGGATCACCAAGGAAAAAAACAAAGATTTGTTGGGAACAGAATAGAAAGAAAAGAAGCATTAATGACTTAAGAGTTAACTAGGAGTGAGCCCACCCTTATATAAGCAAAGTTCCTCAATTTTATGATTTGCTGCCTTAAATTCCACAAATTAAAAAGAAATGTTTGTAAGTACTCTTCTTATACATAAGTGATAACCAGCACTTCTGATCCATATATCCTAAGATTTTGTAGTCATAAATATAAGATTTTTTTAATGCCTATACAAAATGTAAGAATAACTTTTTAAAGAGATATTTCTATACCATAAATTAGTATGCAGGAAATTGTTTCAAGATTATTAAATCATACAGAACAAAATTGGGCAGGACCTACTGTTTAGAAACTTCACTTTGAGCTAAATGGGGGGAGACAGGGGATCTGGCAAGGTTTCTTTAAAAGTACAGTTTTATAAATAAAAAAATTAATTTCTAAAAGTTAATACGTTAGCACAAAATATTAATGCAAAAAGTTAATATAAAAGTTTTTATTCTAAAAAAGCATTTTACCTGCCTACAATGATTGCAAATAACTTCTGTACTGGTTTAAGAATCATCAACAAGAGAGGAACCGGAGCAGCTTGAAACCGTGGAGAAGTATGGAAATTCCTAATAGCTCTTATGGAAGCAGGGCTTAGAGGATGCAATACTGACAGACTAGGGACTGCTGTAACTTCTTTTATTAGCAGCTGTCTTGAAAAAGCATCATTCCATACAGTACATTTGCTGGTAATCCTCCAAATTTCCTTACTTTTGGTACTTGAGAGGCCTCCTGTTCTTTTGTTGTTAAAAGTACTATAAAAATGAAAGTTTCCAGGCAGAAAACTCCACCTGTCACACTGATTTACTCCCAGTCCCTGATACTTATTTACTATATGGTTAACTTGTACTTGATGACAGCCCCGTGAGGTGGATGCTAATGTGTTACATTTTCTCCAGTTAGACAGTGAATTAAATCGGAAGAAAACATGGTTTCTAGCAGCAGACTGCAATCCACAGATGAAGCTCATTTTTTCACTTGACTACCTGAAACAAAAAAAAAACTATAAATATCTGTGGAAAATATTTACTTACCAAACTGGGACTATAACACTTATTAAATAGGCGTGTCAGTTGTTCTTCTAACACATCTCAGGCTAAATTACCTTGGGTTTCAACTCATCACCCCTAGAGCAACGCCTTTCAGCAAGATAAACCAGAGTATATATACCACGATATTTACTATGCAACGTTTACTTTAGAAGCTTGAATTTTTTTCATTTCATTTTTAATTTTTAGTTAGGGAAGAGCCATTTGTATTTTAATGGCAAATGATTTGAGCAATAAAGTGGATTAGATAAAAACAACAGTAAAACTTTATCAGTTTGCAATAACTGGAAGGAAGCATGTGATACAGAATAGTAAAATCTAACTTATAAAATGCACTGGACATTACGCAATGAAGAACAGTGATCCCTAACAGATGGGAAACAGAGCCCTACAACTGTCCTAGCTTATTGCCTGGAGAGTGCTTCCAGGCCACAATGCAGACAGGGTAAACCTAGGTGGAGCCCAGTGGTTCCCCTAAATCGAAGAGATAAAGCTGGGAGGTCAAGTAAACCAAGGTTGCTAGAGCTCACAGGACAGAGGACAAGAGAAGACAAGAGCTGCACAGAGAAATAACTCTAGAGTTCTGCAGAGAATCCCCCTCCCATATTCAGCTGAGTCCTGTCTGGGCATATGTGTAAGAAAATTCCCTGGAGCTGGGAAAGGGCCACCTGAAAAGATTGCAGGGAATAATATACAGGGCTCACACAGGGCATGGTATACTGCCTATCCCCTCCCCACCATTCAAAGTGGAAAACCTTATCATTCGTGGGTAGAGTACTCAGAAGGGTTTTGCCTCAACATTAGAGAAAGATTAGTCTGAGACCGAAAGCTGCTCTGGCCCCACCTAACAAATATTAAAAGCAACCCCCAAAAAGATTAAATGCTTCCAAGCAACAACTGCATCCCAGGAAAAAAAAAAAATCTAAACAGGTATTAGGACACAAAACTATTTAACACTTAACAAGGTGCAATTTATAATTAAAAATCACCAAGCATGCAAGCAGCAAGATATGTGATCCACAATTAGAAGAAATATCAATCAGTGGAAACTAACTCCTAAATAAACAAATAACAGCATTAGTAGATAAGGATATTAGTTATTGTAACTATACTGCACATGTTTAAGAAGCTAAAGGAAAATATGAGCATGTTATGTAGAGATATGTAATATATTTCTTTAAAAGACCTAAACTTTTAGACAAGAAAACTGTAAGAACTAAGATGAAAAACATACTAGATGAGACTAACAGCAGATTAACATTGTAGAAATAAAGATTTGTGACTTTGAAGACGTATCAATAGAAACCATCTAAAATGAAATACAGAGAAAAAATACAATAATAAAAAAAGGCACAGGGCATCAATGAGGTATGCAATAACTTCAAGTGGCCTAATATTCATCTAACTGAAGTCCCCAAAAAGCGGGGAGGAGGTGTAGACAGAAAAAAAAAACACTTGAAATAATGGCCAAAAGTTTTCCAAACTTGATGAAAATTATAAAACCACAAATTCAAAAAGTTTAACAAATCCTACACAAAAGAAACACAAAGGAAAAAAACTACAAGGCACATAACTTCTTAAAATCAATGAAAGATAAAATCTTAAACTTGACATCTTAGGTGAACTGTATAAATTCATTGAAAAACACAAAAAAAGCTGGGCATGGTGGCTCACGCCTGTAATCCCAGCACTTTGGGAGGCCGAGGCAGGTGGATCATTTGAGGTCAGGCATTCGAGGCGTGAAACCCCGTCTCTACTAAAAATACAAAAATTAGGCAGGTGTGGTGGCACTTGCCTGTAATCCCAGCTACTCAGGAGGCTGAGGCAGGAGAATCGCTTGAACCCGGGAGGCGGAGGTTGCAGTGAGCCGAGATGACGCCACTGCATTCCAGCCTGGGCAACAGAGTGAGACTCTGTCTCAAAAAAAAAAAAAAAAAAAAAAAAAAAAAAAAAAAAAAAACAGGAAAAACACAAGAAAGTACATACTCTGATTACATCTCTATAATATAAACTGCAAAAAATGCAAACTAATCCATAGTGACAGAGAGATGAGTGACTGCTTGAGGAGTTGTAGGAAAAAAGCAGCAGGGGAAGGGATTACAAAGAGTGGTGCTTGCCTGTAAACCCAGCTACTTGGGAGGCTGAGGCAGGAGAATCACTTGAACCTGGGAGGCAAGAGACTGCAGTGAGCCAAAATTGTGCCACTACACTCCGGCGTGGGCAACAGAATGAGAACCTGTCAAAAAAAAAAAAAAAAAAAAAAAAAAACCAAAAACAAAAAACAAAAAAACCCAGATTGAGGGAATCTAAATATGAATTGAATTTCAAGTTGTTTTAGGTAATTATTATTTTCTTAGGTGATAATATTGTGGTTATCTGACTATTTTATTCCTGAGATACTTGCTGAAGGATCTGTTCATGATAAATAAAACTCACTTTCAAATTGTACAGCAAAGGTACACACACAAAGGACATAAAGTCAATAAACAAAATATCAGCAATCATTGTATCTCAGTGATAGTTACATATGTGTTCCTTAAATTTTTCTGCATGTTTCAAAATCTTCATATAAAAGTTGGGGAAAAAAATATGTAAACTTCAACCTAAGCTAATACGATATTATCTAGAAAGATGCTCCAGGACTACCAGTTTTAATAGTATTATCTATATATCAAACCATTTGAAAATTACTCAAATTTATTTTTTATGTAATTCATACATCCTGCCCTTGCACTGTTAATGTATAATGTTAATAAAGGGCATGCTAAGTAAAACATTAACTTTGAGTTAACCCTTTTTGAAATACAACCAATTTTAAATTAGTAAAGTCCAGGCTGATATATAATAGTTTGACATTATTAACAAGATACTTTGTTTTTACTTTTTTGAACCAAGCTGAAAAATTGTTAAATAATTTAAGCCTAGAAGTCATTTCACAATTCATACTGGAGTAGCTAGTAAGGTTTTCATTGGCTAGGGGCCATGAGAGTTATGCAGCACAGAATATAGTCCTGCTCTCATGGAGGTTATAATCTAGTTGGGGAGACAAAACTGAACCTAAGTAAGACTATTAGGGGATAATAAAATTCAGTTATTAAATACTACATACTGTATGCATTCTTAAAAAGACATCCATGAGTAGCTGAAGAGTTCAGGAAGGCAGCAATTATTTTTCATGCCATTTAGGCAGATGCAGAAAGACAAAAAAAAATGGAAAGAACTGTTTTAAATGGGAAAGTGTTTTAAGGTTTAAATGTAAAGTCTTCTTCTAGAAGTCAAACTGCAAAAACAACCCAAGCCCACTTTCTTTCCTTGACCTCAAATCTGATGATTTACTGTAGTAGATAAGCTTCAGACACTTGCCCAAGCACAAGTCCTTTTCCAAATGTGCATCTTACAGCCTCATTTTAGGGGACAGGCTTAGACGGCCACATTCATCCCTAGCAACCCCTACCATTAGCTACAGAGCTAGGAGTAGGTATTTGATACTGAAAAGATTTTACATAAAACAGTATTCCGCACAGGAATATAAGGGCATGTGTAAGTTGGGTCTACAGCGGGTGCTATGGCTAAACAAAGCAATATGAAAGCAAGAACTACAAACAAAAAGCTTTTTTAAAAAAAAAAAAGTGGATCCACAGAAAAGACAATGGACTATTAAGTGTAGACAGAAGATAAGTGAGAGACCACAAAGCCAGAGTGAATATGAGAGAATAAGACCTCCCTGATTCCCATGAAACCATTGTACTTCCTACACTTAATTGAGCTTCATGAGCTTTTACTTTATCCCCAAAATAATGCGCTTTCTTCAATGAGTTTCTGTATTCTGCAAATAAATGATCTCTAAGACGTTTACATGGTATAAAACAGTTATACATTTGTTTTTGTAAATTGACAGCATTTTAATATTATACATGTTGTTTACTGGAACTAGCTGAGGGTTCCTCCTACACTTTGC
Source organism: Homo sapiens (assembly GCF_000001405.40). Lineage (NCBI taxonomy): Eukaryota > Metazoa > Chordata > Mammalia > Primates > Hominidae > Homo > Homo sapiens. The sequence goes on from NC_000001.11 coordinate 58,543,332, forward strand.
AAAGCCAAATTTACCAATTTTCAACATTTAATCAGTTCCAGAAATACTGGATTATCTCTACAGCAACTTTAGCATCCAAAATATCTCAGCCCACATTAAATCAGTCATGTCAATTCTACCTCCTTCTTATCTCATTCTAGCCTTTCCTGGGCTCTGTGGTCTTATGGTGTTGATCACTACCCACCTAATCTCCCTGCCTTATTTCACCACTAACCCCTCCCACTACAGTTTGACCCCAAACTAGAGCTAAAGCATTATTTCTAAAATGCAAACCCTGGCAACAGAATCCTACCCCGACAATTAACATACAGTCCTACCCTGGTAAATACCAGGTAATCATTTAAAAAATGACATGATGATCTGTAAATCTTTAAAAGATTTAAAAGATAGCAATCTCTGGCAAAGGGATATACAAATTTAAAAATAATAATAAATGCTACCTAAAAACTTCTGTATAACAGAGGTGGCAAACTCAAACGTCTAAAGAAGCACCATACAACAGACCTTTCTACAATGATAAAAATGTTCATGTCTGCACTGTCCAATAAGGTAGCCCCTACATGTGGCTACTGAGCATTTGAAATGTGACTGGTGCATCTGAGGAATGAAATTTTTAACTCAGTTAAATGGCCATATGTGGCTAGTGTCTACTGTATCGCACAGTACAGGTTTGTAGGGTCCAGGCAAGTGAATATCAGCAAAGTGATACTGATGTGAATGCAGATTCATGACCATCTAAAGGAGGTGCAAACAGTTATGATGGAATTTGAACTTGCTGTGGCCAAATGATTCAAAACTTTTAAGTAAAGCCAGAATTTCAGATTTTAGGTGAAATTTATCAATTTTTAAATGTTGGCAATGAACTTAAAAAATTTTAACGACCTTAACCAAACATTCAGATTTTGTATTTTTGACCTCTGAACTGTATTATTATTCATTCATTCTGAAAATGTTTAATGAGTGCCCACTAAATGCTAGGCACCATAATGGATGCTAGAGATACTGCAGAGAACAAAACAGATTTTAAAAAACCCTCCCCAATTTGCAAAAATAGTAATGAGAAAATATGCTAGTATATACAAAAATAAATCTGAAAAAAGATACACCAAACTATTCACAATTATTTTGAATGGCAGGATGGTGGTTAAGAGGGATTATTAGTATTTTCACCTTATATATTTCTGTGCAGTTCAAATTTCTACGGGATGTATTATTACTTTTTTAAACCTCCACTCAGGCAACTATTTCTGTAATTCCCATTGTTTTTCTTTTCTTTTCGAGACAGGGTCTCACTTTGTCGTTGTCCAGGCTGGAGTGCAGTGGTGCCACCTCGGCTCACTGCAACCTCGCCTCTTGGGTTCAAGCAATTCTCGTGCCTCAGTCTCCTCAGTAGCTGGGATTACAAGCATGCATTACCACATCTGGCTAATTTTTGTATTTTTAGTAGAGACGGGGTTTCGGCAAATTGCCCAGGCTAGTCTCGAACTCCTGGCCTCAAGTGATCTGCTCACCTCGGTCTCCCAAAGTGTTGGGATTATAGGCCTGAGCCACCGCACCTGGCCAGCCCAGCTAATTTTTTAATTTTTTTCTGTAGACACGGTGTGTCACTATGTTGCCCAGGCTGGTTTTTAACTCCTGGGCTCAACTGATCATACTGCACTGCGAAGTGTTGGGATTACAGTCATGAGCCACCACGCCTGGACTTTCGTTGGTTTTCCATGGCTTCCACAAACTCCTTCATATGGCGAACCAGGCCCTCCTACTACTTCTCCAGGCACCTTCCCCAACCCTCCTTCACCCATTCCTAAATTCCAAACTCCCTGATTTACTTACACCCCACAGAAAAAGAAAGCTCTCATCTCTATGTCTATGCACATCTATTCACACTGCTTAGCTCTGCACATGACAAGCAAACTCCTTCTCATTTCTCATGACTTGTGTAAAAATTTTAAAAGAATCCTATTGACACAGAAGGTATAAGCAAAAGCCCCAACACTACGCATATATAATTAAAACCATTATCATTTCTATCACTGACAACCAAGTGTCGTTTTGAATAGAAACAGTGCCTGATATTTTGTAATACCCGGTTTATCCTGAAGAAAGGGTAAAGAATGAGGGAAGAAATCTATTCATGCATTTTCAAGGAGCCAATCACTAGACTACAGAGCACATAAGAAAAAAAAAAATCAGGGCTGACATATTCTCTTCAAAGAGCTGTGGCAGGTCAACAAACATAGCTGGCAGACTTCTAGGATAACAAAATTAATGATGTGAGAAAATTAAACAATTTGGATTGTTAGCCTCTACGAACATTTCAGATCCTTAATTCTTTAAGTACCATCTCCGAATGAGCAAGTGCAGCACTCACTGGCACTCACAGCTGAAGCCTGGAAGACAGTTTTAACAACTCTTGCTGAAAATGACTATTTCTTCTCTAGTTTCTATGGAAACAGCTGTCAGATTGGCAAAAATAGGACATGTACTTTAAAATAATCATTCAAGCAAAGTACACACATGATGGAAGGCTTTAAAAAAGAATTGGACGGCAGCAGACTTGGTTCTTAAGCTTCCAAATGTCAGACTACACCCCTTCACCCCGGCTGAGAATGACGGAGATGAACCTAAATCCTTTTAGCGAGGGTTGCACGACCTTGATCAACGCCTGAATGCCAAATAAGGGATTTTCATCTCCCTGGACTACAATTTCTTGTTGAGGATTGCACGGCACAATAAAACTGTTGCTCCACACACAGGCGACATTTAAACAGTATACAGTGAGTTCTGTAGACGAGTTTACGAGGAAATTGTTAAAACTCCCCGGAACTGCTTAGACGGGGAATGTTCTGGTTTGCCCTGCCGAGTTTAGGCTGGAAAACGTGTTCAGTTTCTCCTGAAGAGGGAAGGGGTGAAAGAGACGAATGCCCGACGCGCCGGGAGGCGGTCCCCTCTGGCAGAGGTGCCGGGTGAGGAGCCCGAAGCCCCGCGGGTGAGAAACCCTGCTCTGAAAGCGGAGCCGCGGATAAGGGCGGGCTGAGGGGGAGGGCAGGCGGCCCACGAAAGTACTGCCACGGGGCAGACACACGGGGTCACCGGCGTGCCCCGGGCAAGGCTAGGGGAGAACCGGGCTCCCCCAGGACAGATCCCCTCCGTCTCCCGCCCCGGCGCCCCCCGCCCCTCCCCTCCACGCAGCCTTATCGCCCACCCACGCCTCCTCCCGTACCCCCATCCCCAAGGATCCCCACTCCTTGCCCGGGCGCCCCCGCAGGCGCTCTGCGCTCCGCCCCCTCCCCACTGCCGCACTCTGCCTCCTCCCCTGGGCACGATCCTACTCGGAAAAGCTGGGGAAAAGCGTCACCGTGAGGACTGACTCAAGCAGAAGCGAAAGCGGTGACACCGCAGACCCGACCTATGCGCAGGCGCGCACCCGCACTTCCTGCCCGCCATACCGGCCGGGGCGCCCTTCGCTCCGCCCACACCCGGCAGTCAATACAGCCGCCCAGAGTCGTTCTCCCAGCTGCCCCGGGCCCCGCGGAGACTGTGGCGCTCTAGCGCCTCCGTGTGGCTTAAGGCGGGACATGGCCCTGGGCTGGGCTGCTTGCCTAGGAACAACTTTCTCCCGTCTTTGGTGAGTTGGGTCCTCTAAAGAATGATCCACGCAAGGCTGTGTCCGTTGTAGTCTCTACGGCAGTACCGGCCAAAAGGGAAGAGACTCGAAGACTGCCAAAAGACGAAGGCTTCCTGGTTCTGAATCTGCATTCATAGAAATAGTCTTTGGAGTATGGGAACAGTGCTTTCATATGATTTTTGGAGGGACGCATTTTAAGAAAGATGAAGTATAATCTTAAGTGTCTGGAGGTTAAAGTAGCTGGCTCCAAAATTATGTGTATAGTATGTTTCATTCATTTCACCAAAACATATTTCTTGAGCATCAACTACATTTTAAGTGCCAAGGATGTAGCAGTGAACAAGACAGACCTGAATTTCGTGAACTTTATATCACAGTGAGGAAAGACAGGCGATTAAAAAAAAGTGTACAAATAAACACAAATAAATAAAAGTGTACAAATAAGCCAGTACAAATAAACACTGGATTGTGATGGATGAGTAGTGAGGTCTCATATTAGTTTATTATGTTTACACTCTGTGCACAATGAAAACATCTCAAAGGACATAAACACTATGTCAAAGGACATAAACACTATGAACAATTTTAGGTATCTCTTTTGGAAAATGTGTAAGTTACTGTTTCGTTTATCTTATGTGTATTTTATGATTTGCCTTTTACTTTGAAAGGGATATCCTGGAAAACCCCTGACAACTGGACCCCTAAAAACTGAAGTAGGAGGTCCTTCAGTCTTCGTAGGGTTTATCTCCCAAACTCTGGAGTGCACATGTCTTACCAAAGTTTCCAGCATGCTAGCCACCTCTTGCTCATCTTGCCTGGTTAGCATAATGTCATTGGTGAAATAGATGGGTGTGATGTTCTCTGGAATTTCCAGTTGATCCAGCTCCTTTTGGACTGCGCAGAGCCATTATGTCATTATCCTGGGTCCACCTGATTTCCAAAGGGGCCAGACTGGCAAGTTAAGTAGAGATATGGCAGGGATGACCAACCACTCTTGTATATTTCAGGTCTTTAATTATGACATTAATCTCCACCATCATCTCACTATCCCCTCAGATGAAATATCGGTTTTGATTTATTATCTTCACTTGGAAAGAAGGACAGCTTCAGAGGCTTCCCATTGGCTTTCCCCACCATGATAACTCAAGACCAAGGACCCTGAGCTTCTTACCAATGTGGAGATTGCTCCAGCTGCCCAATATGTACTCCCAATTATGCACTCAGGAACTAAGAAAATGACTACTGGATGGGTCAGTGTATTCCTGGACCCACTGTAAGCTGGACATTATCCAGGACTCTGCTTATTACCTGATCCCCATAAGCCCCCACACTTAGAGAGGAGCCATGTGTGTTACATACTTTGGGTAACACCTGTGAAATGTCTGGGTATTCCTCTTTCCTCAACATAAAATCAGTCAAGAAAATGGCCGTGGGACACAGACCAAAGAGTAATCATTAATTACAGTAAATATTTGTTTCAGTATTGCAGGATTCTTCTTTATAGGGACCCAACAACCTCTTAAGTCAACAGATTCTGTGGTCTCAGTGTGAAGATAGGCTCAGGTCTGAGACTTGAGCAATGAGCAGTGCCTTTTATTAAGCAACTACTCCCTGCATAGGATAAATAGCTTCTTGTCTTCCTCCAGTTGTAGATGTTAGGCAACACTCTTGTTGGCTGCCCGTCTGTTTTTCCCCTAGGGAGACCTTATGCTATTAAAGCCCTCCACAACCTCCTGTGGATCAAGCCCCCTTGGCTGCTCCTCTGCCCTTGGCAGATGTTACAGTAATTACATCTTCTGGTGTCCTCATGGTTAAAGCCACCACCTGGCTTCTACTACTTCAGGATCCTGTTATCCCAATGGATATTATCAAGCCCAGCCCTGTGATTGCCTCTCCTACCGTCAGCCCTTCCCTCCAGAGGAGAGCCTTCTCTGAACTTCTTAGTGATGCTAGTGCCCCTCACGCCAGTGCATTCCCCATGGCCATAGAATATGATGCATCCTCTGGGCCTCCCATGGAACATTCCCCTCTGTCTGCCTTCGGGCTCTACACACAAAAAAAATTCTTTCAGGCAAGTCCACTTCCCTCAGCTCCTCTGTCCTTCTACCATTTGCAAGGGCAATTCGGGCATTCCTGCTTTACTCTGCATGCACTATGGCTTTCTCTCAGCTTCTAATAGTCACCTAGCAGTGAGTTTACCCATCTTCTACAGTCCCAAGTCCCAAGAAAGTGCCCCCAAGACAATGAATTTTTATTTAGCCAGGCTTGTTCTGGAATAGGAATTAAAAGAAATTAAAGAATGTGTAAACAGAAACTCAGTTCTATGTAAGAAAACCCACCTCCCCCCGAGAAAGAGAAAGAGCTGGAGTCCTTTAAATATTAACTGCCTGTTTTTCTGTGGCTAGTGAGCCTTATCTCTCCCTTTCCCAGGCATTGTAAAGACCCTGTTTCTTTAGCTGTGCGCTGCAAGGTCACTAGACAGATAAACTCAAGCCATTAAGACACGTTTTTCCTTGAAAAGTAAGAAATGATGTAATGCATGCCTCAATTAATTAAATAACTGTCTTTGTTTCTTGCTTCTGTAACATGCTTCTCCCTGCACAGATCTCCCCCAACCCCATAAAATGCTTAAAAGGTAACTTGACTCTTTGTTCGGGGCTCAGTCCTTTGGATGTTAATCCGACTGGGCCGGTGCACCTAAATAATAAATCCTCCTCAACCTCTTGGTATCTCTGATTCCTTATCAATCCCGCCACAGTTCCTGCCCACTTTGATCAAGCACCTTCAGAAATCCCATTCCAGGGGTCCTCTCCTGGCTCCTGCTGGTACACGCTAGGTAGTTCCTTTAGCTCCTACATTATGCAGTCTTCCTCCCCACACCTTTACAGGCCCAACACACAGGCAGCTGGGTGATGCTGGAATTTAACCTGAGTTATCACCCTGGCAGATATCTAAGAGGAGATGGGGCAGGTCCTGAGTGGGCACCTATTTATTCCTTACGCTAGAGGCTTCAACACTGCCTTCCCACTTAAGGGAAGTGTTAGCTTTGACTAGGGAAGGGTCAGCCACCTCTGCAAGCTCTGAGGATCTGCAGTCAGTATCCTCAGGGATTCTATCAGGATGTCCCATTTCATGCTTCAAGATTCCAGATTTTCCCAACCAGGGCCCAGACCTGCCTTGGCTAAGCGTTTAAACATCTCTGGGGCTCTACAACTCTTTTCATGAAAATCTCTTTTGCTCCTCTGCTGTCCACACTCCTCCACTGCAGGTGATAAGAGCCTGTCTGTTACCTACCAAGGAGACCTCTGACTCCCACTCAGCCTTAACTGTTTACAAATGACCCTCACTTTCTCATTATCCCATGCAGGGCATCAACACAATGTAGCAATAACCAGCCCACTGCACTGTTCTTTCAGACACTGCTCCCTCCATCTTTCAAGTGCATTAACTATCTCACCTAAATGGCATTGCCCTCCACTGGGCCAGTTTCCCAGGTCGCCATCACTGAAATCCACACGGGGGCCACTATCTTGTGCCAGACACTATCCAAGACCCCACATTCCACTCAAGATGGAGTTCTTGTAGCCAGTTGGGCAATTAATGAGCCACTCTCAGAGCCGATCTTACCATCTTCTTCTCAGATCACCCCACTTCTAGTCCACCTGTATCAACAGGCCCTCTAAAAAGCAGATGCCAGGGTGGAATCAGATGTGCAAGACATATTTACTGCGTGGAAAATCCTGGGAAGGATAATGGAGCAGGAGCAGGAATAGACAGGAAGGGCCCTCAGATCATGACACTGGTTAAAGGAGAGAGGGAAAGAAGAAAGACTGGATTAGAAGCACCTCAGGTAGTAGCACAGTTCTAAGAAGGTTTTGAAAATGAGGAGTCCTTAGGCCAAAATTGCCTGCTTAGAGGAGTTCCATATTTTGCAGAGATGGGCATCCACTAGTGTTCACACCATGCATGATCATTGGCTAAGAGCAGTCTATGGGGAGCATGCGCTTGTTACAAATGGAGTTGGGGAGCCAGAAGGTCAGGGGCAGGGCCTGGCAGTCAACTATGCTCCCCAGAGCAGATCTGAGCGGCACATTTTCCCGGTCACGGCTGCTGGAGGATTTAGAGTTTGAATAAGTCCTCTGTTCTGGCTGTACATCTTCTTTGTGCTGCCCTTTAAGCAATTTTTTAATCAACGTGCTATGGACTGAATGTTTGTATCCCTCTGAAATTCATATGTTGACCCCTAAATTCCCAATATTAACAGTATTTGGAAATGGGGGCCTTTAGGAGGTAATTAGGTCATGGGGGTGGAGCTCTCATGAATGAGATTCAAGTCTGTAAGGAGATAAAGGGATCAGAGAGCTCCCACTCTGCCACGTGAGGATAAAACAAGACAGCTGTTCGTACACGAGGAAGAGGGTCCTCACAAAATCCAACCATGCTGGCATCTTCATTTCAGACTTTCAGCTTCCCAAACTGTAAGAAAAAATAGTTTGTTGCTGAAGCCAGTCAGTCTACAGTACTTTGTTGTAGCAACCTGAACTGACTGAGACACATGATCAGATTCCATTCTCAGAACCAACCTTCCAACCAAGCAATATTGATTTGCTACACTTAAAAGTTTGGCTTTTGTCAAATTTCCAAAGCTATTTACCCCGTCTGAATTCAGAGGATTGACATGAATAATTTCCTTTGGATATGCCCTTGGGAAAAGGGCTTCATTTTAAGCACAGCTTAATGAGGTGTAAGAAGCTTTTGAAGGTGTTCTTTACAGAGTATTCATGGTAGGAGGTTTGCTTGAAGGGTCACACTGAAGACTGTGTCCCGTGACAGCATCACTGAAGTTTGACTTTGGATGTAACACTGAAAGTAGATGCTGTGCTACACCAGCAGATCCCCATTCACTGAAGTTATCATTCTGGCAGCTGCCTGCCTCCCTAGAGATTTCCCTTGGCTGGAGACACCGGCTTCATCCAAGGATAGGCTCTCTGCCCAGCGACAACACTTACCCCACAAACTTTGGGAGTACACAGTCCTGACTCCTATGCATCAATTGAGGATAACACTGCAAGGCCATCCACGCGGCAGAGACCTCCATGGGACTGGAAGCTCCACTTCTGCCTCTACCCAGTCCTGTTTCCCTTACTCCCTTATAAGTGTTGTTCCTTGGCCAGGCACAGTGGCTCACGCCTGTAATCCCAGCAACTTGGGACGCTGAGGTGGGCAGATCACTTGAGGTCAGGAGTTTGAGATCAGCCTGGCCAACATGGTGAAGCCCCTGTCTCTACTAAAAATACACACATACACACACACACACAAACACACACACACACACACACACACACAGAGATTAGATAGGCATGGCGGCTCGTGCCTATAGTCCCAGCTACTCGGGAGGCTGAAGCAGAAGAATTGTTGTTCCTTGGCCGGGCACAGTGGCTCACGCCTGTAATCCCAGCAAGTTGGGACGCTGAGGTGGGCAGATCACTTGAGGTCAGGAGTTTGAGATCAGCCTGGCCAACATGGTGAAGCCCCTGTCTCTACTAAAAATACACACATACACACACACACACACACACACACACACACACACACACACACACAGAGATTAGATAGGCATGGCGGCTCGTGCCTATAGTCCCAGCTACTCGGGAGGCTGAAGCAGAAGAATTGCTTGAAGCTGAGAGGCAGAGGTTGCAGTGAGCCGAGATCACACCACTGCACTCCAGCCTGGGTGACAGAGCAAGACTCCGTCCTAAATAAATAAATAAATAAGTGTTGTTCCTGAGGTCTCTCCCCTATAAGCCTGCACAAAAAGATTTATCTCAGAATCTGTTTCCAGGGAACCCAGCCTAAAACAATTCAGTCTTCTCCAGTGGAAAACTATATTAAATGCCATGACACAGAAAGACATTCATTCACACCTCCTATAGAAAGTGCTGGATGCTGAATACTGAGTTAAAGAAGAGAGTGACTCTGAAGAATTATGAGGCATGGCTTGTCTTATAACAGGTTTAGACAGAAGTTCAACAGACAACAATCAGGCCTCTGATGATATAGATTCAGAATGAGAACCAGGTGAAACAGCCACAGGATTTGATGAGGGTCACGTACTTGGAAGGCTGCAATGTATGGGTGGCACCTTGACTGAAGTGGCCTTTCGTTTTTCTTGAATATGTGCCAGGCATGACTGTCCAAAAGGGTTGAAATTGTGAATTTGAAATCACTCCAACACAGAGAATTTCAGCATCTTCATTGAAACGTTCTACTCCAACAAAAATCAGCTCAGTGCTTACTTCAACCACAGTTGACTTCTTTTTCTTTCTTGTGTCATCCTAGCCCTTCTTCCCACATAACATGAATAAATCTGCCATTTTAAAGTTAATTTTTTGCTTGAAGAGAATGGTCACACCAAGTTCCAGTGTGTTATTTTTACGAATTGCCATCTAAATTATTAGTGCACTAGTATCCTGACTGGTCTCCCTGTCTCCAGCCTCGTTCCTCTTGTCTATACTGCAGCCACCAGGACCCAGCTCCTGAAATTGGGTGTGGGATAATTCAGTATGGCTCAGCGAGCTCCATGCAGGGCCATGGGGGAAGGTCTTACTGTGGACATGCCCTTGCTCACTCCCCAGAGATCAGTTCTTCAAAGATGCCAGATGAGCACTTTTCTAAGTGTCAGTGCAAACTATTATTTCTTTATTGCACAAGTGAAATACTAATACCATAGAAAAGCAAAACAAAAAAGAGAAAAATCACCCTTAACCTCACTATCCCAAAATAACCACTGTTAACATTTTGATGCGTAACCCACTTGAAAAGCAAGATTTAAATTACCTTAAATATTTAAAACATTGATGAGATCAAAGCTTCCTCGTTGTTTTGATGTGTATTCCTTTGATTTATAATAATGTAAATGCTTTTTCATGCTTTTATGCTGTTTGGATTTCTTCTTTAGCAAATTGCCTGTTCATGCCCTTAACCCATTTTTCTGTAATATATTCATTTGTATCTTATAAACTTAAAACATTTTTTTATACATTTAAGAATTGTCTGTCATTTATGTAGCAAACATTTTCCCCACTTGAAGTTTGTCTTTCAACTTTGTTGATTCAGGTGAAAAATACACTTAATTGCTGAAATTTTGATACAGTCAAAAATATCCATCTTTTCATTATGGTTTCTGCCTTCGAGATCATATCTACTGTCTGTCTCAAAATTAAGATTAAATATTTATCATTATTCTAGTACTTGAATGACTTTGTTCTTTCTTAAATCTTTTAAAATATTTAATCTACCAGGAATTTATTTCAGCATAAAATAGGAGGAAAAAAAATAACCTAAAATATTTTCGGAATAATTAGGCCAGTGGAGCTTTTACAAAGGATGCATGCATGTGCCCTCCCCATGGTTAGGACCACCAAAGTAACTGCTGTCCCAACAATTAATTTAACATGTCCTGACTGACTTAAAGCATCACTGTTACGATATGCTAAATTCCTGTAAATATCTACATATGTTTCTGCAGTTTCCCTTTTTTTCCTTGGTCTGACTGTTCTGGAGTTAGTGCATGATTCTTTCTATTTATTGTAACTTTGTAATATACATTTTATTTTCAAATATTGTCTGGCTCTTACACATTTGACCTTCAAGATGAACTTCTGAACAGTTTTTTTCCAGCTCCCTTCCTAAAAAAAAAGGAATTGGGATTTTTGATTCTGTTATTGTTGTTGTTTTTAATCTTGGATTCATTTGGGTGAGATGTATATCTTTGCAATGTTGACTGTCAATCTAGGAAATATGTGCATCTCCATTTATCCAGGTCTTCTTTTATGTCTCTCCATAAAGTCTTACAGTTTTCTTATATGGGTCAAAGCAGTATATTTTTAAAAGGAACTATAAACTTTACTTCTTAGGATTATGGAATCTCAGCGCTTGAAAGGACTTAAAAATCACCTCACTGGCCGGGTGCGGTGGCTCATGCCTGTAATCCCAGCACTTTGGGAGGCCGAGGTGGGCGGATCACGAGGTCAGGAGATCGAGACCATCCTGGCTAACACGGTGAAACCCCGTCTCTACTAAAAATACAAAAAAAATTAGCCCGGTGTGGTGGTGGGCGCCCGTAGTACCAGCAACTTGGGAGGCTAAGGCAGGTGAATGGCGTGAACCCGGTAGGCAGAGCTTGCAGTGAGCTGAGATCGCGCGAATGCACTCCAGCCTGGGCGACAGAGTGAGACTCCATCTCAAAAAAAAAAAATCACCTCAACACTCCCACCCCATCTGCTGCTGAGTCCCCATCTCAACCAAAGATATGTGGCATATTTTTAGTGGTTTTTTTTAACATAATGGTATCACACTATGAATATTTTCTGTAACTTCCAGGTTATCACTTGCACAACATGCCTTGGAGAAATGTCTTTATCAATACTTGTAGATCAATTTAATCCATTTTAAGCACCATAAGATGTCCTCTGGAAAAGATTTTGCATCATTTACTTTATTACTGTTGATGGACATTTAAACCATTTCTATCATTTTGCTCTCACAAACAACTCAGCTCATAACCTTGAGCTCTAACTGAAGTAAGTCTCCAAATTCCTAGAGCACACACCACTGGGGGCACAGTTCCCCTCCTCATATATCACTACCAAGTGTTGTAATGCCTGTTCAAAGAAAGGCATTTGTTTACCTTTCCATGGAGTCTCAATTCTGTTCAACAAACATCTATTGCGCATGAATTATTTAGTAAGTACTGGGCTTTTTGTTTCTAATCACTAAGATTTATTTTTTAGGGAAATTTTAGGATCACAGCAACATTGAGCAGAAAGAGTGTTTTCATCTACTCCCTGTCCCTACATGGGCACAGCCTCCCCCACCACCAAGAGTGGTACATTTGTTAAAATTAACATGCCATTATCACCCTAAGTCCGTAGTTTATATTACAGGCATTTTTAACACACTAATTTTGATACAATAAACAAATCTATATATTCAATAATACTATGGAGGCTACACTATATGCCAGATACTCTACAGAAACTGGTGCTCCAGGGAAAATAGGAAATCCCCTACTCCTCCTCTCAACCTAAACAATTCCCAAAATAAAACATGGGTCATCACATCATGGTATCTATTTATTTATAAGCACAGGTGACTCTTCATCTATCAGATCACTAGACCAGGTAGCAGATTTCCAAATAATTTGGATAACCTCTGGAATTTGAGGTATCCATGCTTAAATTTCCATGTTCTTATACATGTTACACTTTCTGTGTGTCTCCCAAGGAGACCTCCCTATTAGACAGCATCCCACACAGAAAGAGTAGCATGTACAAGATGAGGATACAAATGTGACAAGCACAAAGATTCCAATACAAGTAACTTATTTGGGAGGTGATCCTAGGAAGCACCCATTGGTGAGTAGAGAAGTGAGACAGGGAAGGAAAGAAAGCTAATAAAGAATACATTAACAAACTAGTTACAAAAGGGGCCAATGGGGTGTCGTCCCTCTGAGGACTGCTAGGAGAATGTGTAAAACAGGCCACAGAGTTTTACCAAGTGAGGATGGGAAAGCTGGGCTATTTATTCACCATTCCTGCCAGTAGCATTGGTTGAGGGCTGTCCTAGTAAGGATTAATTCTATGACACTTCCAGCCTCCTGCATATGCACATAGAGTGGGCTCCTACAGGCCAGAGAAAGACTCAAGCAAGGAGCTTCAGGTTCTGGCAGTTGCCAGTTGAACCAGTGTGTGCAGAAATATGGGCCAGGCACCAACATAAAGGGAAATGTGAGTGGACACCGGTGGCATCTGCTACAAATGCCTATTTCTATCAACACCTGGCTAATTCACTCTTCAAAACACAGGGCAAAATTGTCCACTCTGGCAAGTGTTGCATGTATCTGCACCAGGCCTGGGGAGCTACCCTACTTCTGTATACCTGGGGCAGTTTGTGCTTATGTCACTCCTACTAAAAGATTGTAAGTGGTTGCACTGAGTCCAGGTTGGCCTGACTCCACATCCCAAGCTGAAACCCCTAAGCCAATATAAGTGAGCCCCTTAGCCCACAGATGCATCACTCTAATGTCTGCCTCCATCTTCACATTGCCCTATTCTCTGTGTTTCTTAGTGTCTCTCCTCCTCTTATAAGGACAGTAGTCATTGGATTTAGGCCCACAAGATCATTAACTTAATTAACATCTGCAAAGACTCTATTTCCAAATAATATCACCATTCTTTTTTTATTATTATTATTTTTGAGACGAAGTCTCGCTTTCTCACTCAGGCTGGAATGCAGTGGCACAGTCTTGGCCCACTGCAGGCTTTGCCTCCCGGTTTCAAGTGATTCTTCTGCCTCTGCCTCCCAACAAATAAGATCACCATTCTGAAGTTCCAGATGGACATAAATTTTGGGACTCTCTTCAAACTACTACATGGACAAAACAGACCAATTAGACTAATATCATATTTTATCATTGAAGGGATAAAAATTCTACTGTGTGGCTCTTAAATTAGGCGAATATGAGACAAGGACTACTGATGTGCATTTTGGCCAAGATGAGGAAAAAGCTGGCCTAGAAAATGAAATGAAGTGAAGAGCAGATGAAGATATTAAGAAATAGACAATCAGCATAAGCTTATATCTATTAAGGAAACTGATCCAATAATTAATAATCTTCCATAACAGAAAACCCCAGACCCAGGTGGATTTAATGGTAAATTCTACCAAACATTTAAAGAAGAAATTATACTAATTCTCTACAATCTGTTTCAGAAGATAGAAACAAAGGAATACTTCCTAACTCATTCTATAAGGCCAGCATTACCTTAATACCAAAACCAGACAAAGATATAAGAAAATAAAATATATCAGCAAATATCTTTCATGAACATAAATGCAAAATTCCTCAAAAAAATGCCACCATATTGAATACAACAATGTATAAAAGGATTCTTATAGCACGACCAAATGGGAATTATTCTAGATATTCATAGGTCAACACTTAAAAATCAATTAATGTAATTTATCACATCAGCAGGCTAAAGAAGGAAAGTCACATGATCGTATTAATACATGCAGAAAAAGCGTTTGACAAAATCCTATGTCTAGTCATAAAAACAAAAACCTCTCAGTAAACTAGGAACAGAGGGAAACTTCCTAAACTTGGTAAAGAATCTCTACAAAAAGCCTACAGCTAACGTCATACTTAATGGTGAAAAACTAGATGCTTTCCCACTAAAATCAGGAACAAGACAAGGATGTCACCTCTCACCACTGCTTTGCAACCTTGTACTAGAAGTCAAAACTAATGCAATACAATGAGAACAAGAAATGTAAGGTATATGGATTGGGAAGGAAGAAATAAAACTGTCTTTGTTGTAGATGACATGTTCATCTAAAGACAGAATCCAAAAGAATTAACCAAAAAGAGAAAAAAACCCTCCTGAAACTAATAAGCAATTAAAGCAAGGTTGCAGGATACAAGATTAATATGCAAGTCAACTACTTTCCTACATGCCAGCAATAAACAAGTGAAGTCTGAAATTAAAAACACAATACCATTTACATTAGCATCACTCAAAATGAAATACTTAGGTATAAATTTTTCTTTTTAAGTATAAGATCTATATGAGAAAAAGTGCACAATTTTAATGAAAGAAATCAAGAACTAAATAAGAGATATTCTGTTATTCATGGATGGGAAGACATAATATTGTCAGTCAGTTCTTCCCAACTTGACCTATAGAGTCAATGTAATTTCAATGAAACTCTCATCGAGTTATTTTGTGGATATTGCCAAACTAATTCTAAAAGCAAAGACGCCGGAGTAGCCAAGACAATATTAAAAGTGAACAAAATTAGAGAACTGACACTACCAGACTTCTAGACTTACTATGAAACTACAGTAATCAAGACAGTGCTGTACTGGCAAAAGAAGAGACAAATAGACCAAAGGAACAGAAAAGGGAGTCCGAGTCCAGAATTAGACCCATATAGATATAGTCAACTCATCTTTGACAAAGAAGCAAAGGTAATACAATGGAGAAAAGATAATCTTTTCAAAAAATGGTGCTGGAACAACTAGATAGCCACATACCAAAAAACAAACAAACAGAAAAAAAAAAAACGAATCTAGACACAGACCTTACACTCTTCACAAAAATTAACTAAAAATGGATTACGGATGTAAATGTAAAATGCAAAACCAAAAGACTCCATTTTGCATTGTAAAATGCAAAAGTATAAAAATAGATTTTCTCACGGTGTTGCTCCAGCCTGGGAGAAAATCTAGATGACCTTGCATTTGCCAATGACTTTTTTTTTTTTTTTTTGAGACAAAGTCTTGCTCTGTCACCCAGCCTGGAGTGCAGTGGTGGCATCTTGGCTCACTGCAAGCTCCGCCTGCCAGGTTCTTGCCATTCTCCTGCCTCAGCCTTCCGAGCAGCTGGGACTACAGGCACCTGCCACCACGCCAGGCTAAGTTTTTGTATTTTTAGTAGAGACGGGGTTTCACCGTGTTAGCCAGGATGGTCTCGATCTCCTGACCTCGTGATCCACCCTCCTTAGCCTCCCAATGTGCTGGGATTACAGGCATGAGCCACTGAGCCCAGCCAGCAATGACTTTTTAAGTGCAACACCAAAGGCATGATCTATGTAAAAAACAATTAATAAAATGGACTTTATTAAAATTAAAATTTTCTGCCCTGAAAAAGATACTGTCAGGAGAGTTAAAAGAAAAGTGACAGACTGGGGAAAGTATTTGCAAAAAAATACCTATTTTTAAAATGTTATTCAAAATATGTGAATAACTCTTAAAACTCAACAACATAAACACACAAAAAAATCTGATTAAAAATGGGTCAAAGACCTTAACAAATATCTCATCAAAGAAGAAATACAGATGATAAATAAGCATATAAAAAGATGCCCTACATCATATGTCACCAGGAAAATGCAAATTAAAACAACGAGATACCACTACACACCTATTAGAATGGCCAAAAGGCAGCACACTGATAACATCAAATGCTGGTGAGGCTGTGAAGCCACTGGAATTCTCATTCATTGCTGGTAAGAATGTAAAAATGGTACAGCCACTTTGAAAGACCAGCTTCTTACCAAACTAAACATACTACTTTTTATCAATGATCCAGCACTTGCACTCCCTGATAGTTACCCAAAGACATTGAAAACTTATGCCTGCACAAAAACCTACACACAGGTGTTTATAGCAGACTTAATGCCAAAACTTGGAAGCAATAAAGATGTCCTTCAGTAGGTGAGTGGATAAAAAAAGCGGCAGTACATCAAGACAATGGAATATTATGCAGCAATAAAAAGAAATAAGCTATTAAGCCATGAAAAGACATGAAAGGCTGGGTGTGGTGGCACATGCCTGTAGTCCCAGCTGCTTGAGAGGCTGAGGTGGGAGGATGACTTGAGCCCATGAGTTCAAGTCCAGCCTGGGCAATATAATGAGACCTCATCACTAAATAAAATAATAAATAAATAAATAAAGTTTTAAAAGAAAAAGGCATAGGAGAAACATAAATGCATATTACTAAATTCAAGGAGCCAATCTGAAAAGGTGACATACTGTATAATTCCAACTATATAACATTCTGGAAAAGGCAAAATTATAGAGACAATAAAAAGATCAATTGTTGCCACAAGTTAGGGTAAAGTGAAGGATGAATAGGTAGAGCCCAGAGGAATTATTTTAGGGCTGGAAAACCACTCTGTGTGATACTGCAATGGTAGATACATGTGATACATTTGTCCAAACCCATTAAATGTACACCACCAAGCTTGAGCCCTAATGTAAACTATGTACTCTACATGATAATAATATGTCATTTTATGTTTATCAATTGTAAAAAGTCTACCACTCTGGTGAAGGCTGTTGATAACGGGGGAGGCTGTGTGTGGAGGGGCAGGGGATATATGGGAAATCTCTGTACCTTTTGTGAAATTTTGCTGCGAACCTATAACAGCTCTAAAATATAGCTTATTGTGACGGTTAATTTTATGGTTAATATGATGGTTGATTTGACTGGGCTAAGGGATGCCCAGATAGCTGGTAAAACATTATTTCTGGGTGTGCCTCTGGGGTGTGTCTGGAAGAGATTAGCATTTGAATTGGTAGACAGTAAAGAAATAATCCTCACCAGTGTGGGTGAGCCTTATTCAGTCTGTCCAGGGACCCAATAAAACAAGAAAGTGGAAGAAGGATGAATTCACTCTCCCTATTTCAGCTGTGACATGCATCTTCTCCTGCCCTCAGTCATTGGCACTCCTGCTTCTTGGGCCTTCAGACTTGGACTAGGATTTACACCCCTGGCTCTTCTGGTTCTCAGGCTTTCAGGCTTGAACTAAAACTCACCGTTGGTTTTCCTGGGCCTCCAACTTGCAGATGGCAGATGGTGGGACTTCTTAGCCTTCATAATCATGTGAGCCAATCCCTCAGAATAAATTTCTCTCTCTCTCACTCACTCACTATCCCTTTGGTTCTGTTTCTCTGAAGAACCCTAACTAATACATCTGTTTAAAAAATGTAAAGATATTAAGAAAGAAAGAGAGTCTTGACAACATTATTTGAACACTTGGATCCAGCCATGGCTAAAGCTAACACCTCCTCTTCACTTTCCAGTTACACTAATCAACATATGTTCTTTTTGTGTAAACTTACTTGAGTTGAATAGCTAACATTCATAGCTGAATAGTCCTTGCTAATATAGTCAGTTATTGCACATCTAGTTGCCTCCGCAATACATTTTCCTTTCCTCTTCTTATACATGACAAGCTCCTGTTTGTCCTCAGGTCTCAGCTTAAGCAGAACTTTCTCGAGCAGATCTTCCCTAAACTGATTCCTACTTCCACTCCAGCTTACGTCAGTTCTCCTTGCTGGATGTTCTCGTAACGCCCTGTATTTCCTCATAACACTCATCCCACACTATTGTAATTACTTGTTCCATTTATTCTCCCTGTTCCACCACCACTACCAAGCTGAACTGTTAAGATCTTCGAGGGCAGAAAAAAAATATTCTGTTCAGTGTTATATTCTCATTTCTATTGTGATGGAATGAAGTGGGTAGCCAGTGTCTGTTCATTCATAGATTTAAATCTTCATTTGATTTTGAAAATTATGGTAAAATACATTATGAGCAAGTGTAAGTGTTTTTGTATGGCTACTAGACAATTGTAGTAAGTTCTGATTAATTTTTAGCATAAAAGCTAGTAATTGCTTTTACTTAGGGAGTTCTAAATGAAACTGTAATAATTTTTTTTAAAACTCCCCAGGCTGATCAAAGGGAATAATTTGAAGAAGGTAATTATGCACATGGAGGATGAAGATTATTGCTTTAACAGTATTTAGCAGTCTGATTAAAGAAAGAGAGAACCCAGTCTGCCAGTTCTTTGAGCATTTTCTGAAGATCTGGATTGAAGTCTAAAAGTTTCCTAATTCATGTGTAAAAATCGCAAGCATTCCCAGACACCAAAATAGACAAATCATGAGTGAACTCCCATTCACAATTGCTACAAAGAGAATAAAATACCTAGGAATACAACTTACAAGGAATGTGAAGGACCTCTTCAATGAGGACTACAAACCACTGCTCAAGGAAATAGGAGAGAATGAAAACAAATAGAAAAACATTCCATGCTCATGGATAGGAAGAATCAATATTCTGTAAAATGGCCATACTGCCCAAAGTAATTTATAGATTCAATTCCATCTCCATCAAGCTACCACTGACTTTCTTCACAGAATTAGAAAAATCTACTTTAAATTTCATATGGAACCAAAAAAGAGCCCGCATAGCCAAGACAATCCTAAGCAAAAAGAACAAAGCTGGAGGCATCATACTACCCGACTTCAAACTATGCTATAAGGCTACAGTAACCAAAACAGCATTGTACTGGTACCAAAACAGATATATAGACCAATGGAACAGAGCAGAGTCCTCAGAAATAATGCCACACATCTGCAACCATCTGATCTTTGACAAACCTGACAAAAACAAGCAATGGGGAAAGGATTCCCTATTTAATAAATGGTGTTGGGAAAACTGGCTAGCCATATGTGGAAAACTGAAACTAGACCCCTTTCTTACACCTTATACAAAAATTAACTCAAGATGGATTAAAGACTTAAATGTAAGACCTAAAACCATAAAAACCCTAGAAGAAAACCTATGCAATACCATTCAGGACATAGGCATGGGCAAAGACTTCACTACTAAAACACCAAAAACAATGGCAACAAAAGCCAAAATTGACAAATGGGATCTAATTAAACTAAAGAGCTTCTGCACAGCAAAATAAACTATCATCAGAGTGAACAGGCAACCGACAGAATGGGAGAAAAATTTTGCAATCTATCCATCTGTCAAAGGGCTAATATACAGAATCTACAAGGAACTTAAACAAATTTAAAAGAAAAAAAACAAACAACCCCATCAAAAAGTGGGCGATATGAACAGACACTTCTCAAAAGAAGACAATTATGTGGCCAACAGACATATGGAAAAAAGCTCATCATCACTGGTCATTAGATAAATGCAAATTCAAACCACAATGAGATACCATCTCATGCCAGTTAGAATGGTGATCATTAAAAAGTAGGAAACAACAGATACTGGAGAGGATGTGGAGAAATAGGAACACTTTTACACTGTTGATGGGATTGTAAATTAGTTCAACCATTGTGGAACACAGTGTGGAGATTCCTCAAGGAGCTAGAACCAGAAATACCATTTGACCCAGCAATCCCATTACTGGGTATATACCTAAAGGATTATAAATCATTCTACTATGAAGACACATGCACATGTATGTTTATTGCAGCACTATTCACAATAGCAAAGACTTGAAACCAACCCAAATGCCCATCAGTGATAGACTGGATAAAGAGAATGTGGCACATATACACCATGGAATACTATGCAGCCATAAAAAAGGATGAGTTCATGTCCTTTGCAGGGACATGGATGAAGCTGGAAACCATCATTCTCAGCAGACTAACACAGGAACAGAAAACCAAACATTGCATGTTCTCACTCATAAGTGGGAGTTGAACAATGAGAACACATGGACACAGGGAGGGGAACATCACACACTGGGGCCTGTCGAGGGGTGGGGGAATAGGGGAGGGATAGCATTAGGAGAAATACCTAATGTAGATGACGGGTTGATGGATGCAGCAAACCACCATGGCACGTGTATACCTATGTAACAAACCTGCACGTTCTGCATGTGTATCCCAGAACTTAAAGTATATAAAATAAAATAAAATAAAAACCACACACACACACAAAGATTCCTTTTGTTTAATTTCCATATAAACAACACTACCCATATAGTACACTTGCTTAGCCAACTTAATCTGAAAATTTAGGGGAAAAACCAAGGAGGTGTTTATGTCACAGTTCCATATATATCATTCATTCATTTATTCATTCAGCAGACATAATCTTTAAAATAAATGGAATATTAGAATTCCTTTTTCTTAGTCAAGTCACAAACTAGGGGTCTGATTGATACAGGAGTTAAGAAGAAATTACTTAGTCAGATAGCAAGGGCATGGGAGTCCTCGGTGAGGCTTTTCTTTTTAATGAAAAGCAGCCCCAAACCGTTTTCTAACAAAGAGCAAGCTGGGAACTTGCGTGGCTGAATGCTGCCAGGAACTAAGGACTAGACATATTCAAGATGGCAGCTCCATCTTCCCTTCTCTGCCAGCCACGTGTACTATAAAGGAGGAGACAAGATCATGCTGGTTAACTGGAAATCTCCTTTGCATAAGAAGATTAGGGTGGGGCGAACAGCCTTCCCCGTGCACTATGTAAACGTCATACCTGATCGAACCAATCTATGAGCCCTATGTAAATCAGACACTGCCTCCTCAAACTGGACTATAAAACTTGGGGGATTCCCCACCAACTGGTCCTTTCCTCTCGGAGACCCCTTCCTCCAAAGAGGAAGCTGTTTCTCTTTCTCTTCTTTTTTACCTATTAAACCTTTGCTCCTAAATGCCTCCTGTGTGTCCATGTCCTAAATTTTTCTGGCATGCAACAACGAACCCCAGGGGTATATATCCCAGATAATGTAGCCACTTCATGATCTTATTTGAATAGTATCCTCCCCTAATTCATGTTCACCTGGAACTTGTATATGTGATCCTATTGGAAATAGGGTCTTTGCAGACATAATCAAGTTAAGATCAGTTCATACTGGATTAGGATGGGCCCTCATTCAGCGAGTAGTGTCCTTATGAGAAGCCAAAAATTTGGACACAGAGATACACACAGAGGGAAGACAGCCATGTGAAGAAAGCAGAGATTGGAGTTATGCTGCCACAGTCCGAGGACTTCCCACAACCCCAGAAGCTAGAGGATGCAAGGAAGGATTCTTCCCTAGAGCCTTGATTTCAAACTTCTAGCTTCCAGGACTGGAAGAAATTAATTTATGTTATTTTAAGCCTCCGAGTTTGTAGTAGTTTTCTATGGAAGCCCCAGGGTACTAATTCATGGTCCAATCTTCTGCCAAGTGACCCTTCCTTTCCCCTCACCACCCAGCCTCCATCCAATTCCAAAACATTTTCTCCCATGTCTTCTTTGTTGTTTCCTTTTAAAAGAGTTGGAGTTGAGTTTTGCCATGTTGCCTAGACTGGAATGTAGTATCTATTCATGCCATGTTGCCTAGGCTGGAATGTAGTGTCTACTCAAACACGCGATCCCTCTACTGATCAGCATGAGAGTTTTGATTTGCACCATTTCTGACCTGGGCCAGTTCACCCCTCCTTAGGCAACCTAGTGGTTCCCCGATCCCAGGAGGTCCCCAGATTGATGTCGAACTTGGTGTGGTCATCCAATCAACATAGCACACAGCAGCCCAGAACTCCTGGGCTCAAGCGACCCTCCTGCCTCAGCCTCCCCAGGAACTGGGACTCCAGGCTCCAACCACCAAGCCCAAGTTTTTATGCAAAGCAGTTAAGGATCTTTAGCCCCTCACCCAAGCAAAGGCCTTCCCTTTGCATATAGGAAGGCTCAGACTCTGCCTCACCGAATGAGAGGCACCTAGAGAGAGCAGGTTTTCCTTTCCTCCACCCTAGCAGGGTTTTCAAAGGGTGAAGAGTGCAGTAAAATGGGAGTGTAGTAGAACAATTGATTTCTCCACTGATTAAAATTATACCATTCCCTTGAAGTTTAAAAAAAGAAAGACAAAAAATAAAAGAGAAAATGAAAGCAGTTACAATCAATTTGGATTTAAAACAACAAATTTTGCACTTAAAATGTTTGTTCCCATTTTTTAAAAATGGAGTCTTTTTATAATTTTGTTACTTTTCCCCCCATCACGTAACAGTATATTGTGAGTATTTTCCCATGTTAGAAAGTCCTCAAGGATTATACCGTAACGTATACAGATCCACAATCCCTTATCCACTGTCGGGGACAAGGGAAGCTCCTTTTCACTCTCTGAAGGTTCCCTGAAAAATCAGCTTACAAAGCCTGATTAATTGGACAAAAGGCATACAAATGTATTTAACATATATACAATGAGAGCCTTCAGAAAGAATTTGGGGCTTGGATCCTGGCAAAACAGCTATAAGAGGAGAAGTCAATGGGCTTGAAGAACATACAATGGTCTATTGGGCCCACAGAGTGAAAGATGATTTGTGACAAAAGTCTGTCCAGGTTTGTTGACAGACTTTGGTCTTCCTTCCTGTGATATGGGTTCAGTTAATGAAAACTTAAGGAAGGGACTGGAGGTAATTGTTTTCTTCTTTGGTAGGTCTGGACTTTAGGCAGATAAGGAAGCTTTGGAGAGCAACTTTATCCCATGCTTTGAGAGAGATGGAGGTGGGGGGCAGATCTGGAGAGAGAAGTCAGAAAGACCTTGAGGCTCCTTTTTCAGTTTAGCATGTACAAAGCACTGCATTTTGGGATATCGATTTCTGAGCCGCAACACCACAAATCCAAAAAGCTGAAAACCCAAGAGCTGTTTTAAAAGTTTGGCAGCAAAACTGACCTGAAGTGACCTAAGCCTGCTTATGGTCTATTTATACCACTTAGTGTGACTGTTAATGTTTCATGGCAGAAATCTAAATATATTGATTAGAGATGCTGTCACAGACCCTGCTGAAGGGATTAAAATCATGCACCAAATTATCCTTCTAAAATCCGAACATTTCTGAATTCTGAAACACACTAGATCTCAAGGTGTTGTGAACCTATATAATCATCCCCCTGTAGTTAGATATTTATTTTCACCTTTTTACTATTATAAAAAGTGCTGCATGCAACATGTTATACATGTGAATCTTGTTTGCATCACTATTCATGTCCTTAAGATAAATTCCTTGATATAGAAATAGAAAGTCAGAAAAACTAAACATGTTCTTGGTAGATATTGTCTACTTGTTTTCCAGAAAGGTTATACCAATTAACATACCCCTCACCAGCACTGAGAAACAACAGTTTTATTAATTTCACAAAGGAAAATTGTCATAGCATTGTGCTTTTAACTCATTTGGTTACCAGTGATGTTAGACATATTTTTAAAAAGAGGTTTATTAGTATTTCGAGTTCCTCTCCAGGAATTGTCTATTTATTACCTTTGTTCCTTTTCTACTGAAATTCATCTCATAAGCTTGCTTTGTGTATGTGCTGCACCAAGGCCAAGGGAGTGGGGGCCAAAATCAAGCCTGACTCTGATCACTAACTGTGTACCCTCCACTGAGGAGGGAGCACTTTTTCTTCTTTGAAAGGTGTCTCTCCACCTGGTGCACTTGCCAAGCCCTGCACTGTAAGGCTGAGTCCAACTAGATGGACTGTCTTTTTCTAATTTGTCTGCCCAGAGCAAACAGGATGCCCTTTCTAATTTGCACAAAAGTACCAAACTGAGATCTTAACTAGACGAATTGTGTTTCTAATTAATTTGAGTTTAAATTCTTTATATAAGCTGGGTGTGATGGTTCACACCTGTAAACCCAGCACTTTGGGAGGCTGAGGCAGGTGAATCACTTGAACAGAAGAGTTTGAGATCAGCCTGGGCAACATGGTGAAACCTGTCTCCACAAAAAAATACAAATACCCAGGCATGGTGGCGCATGCCTGTAGTCCCAGCTACTGGGGTGGCTGAGGCAGGATAATCGCTTGAACCCAGGAGGCAGAGGCTGCAGTAAGGTGATCATGCCACTGCACTCCAGCCTGGGGGCAGAGTGAGACCTGGTTTCAAAAAACACAAAAAATGTTCTTTATATAGTAAAGCTATCATATTAAAATTTCGAGTGTTATATTGTGCTGGCTGTGTTTTTCTTGCTTATTGCTTTGTATTTGTTTGACTCATAAGTTATCTAAACGTCTTCCATTTTGCTTTTTCTTAAGAAATATTTGTGGAGCTATAAGTAGCTTTGTTTTTCTTCCTTTTGCTTCTGAATATTATTTTAGGTGGTGAGACATGGGTAGAAATGTATGAAATCTAATCCTTGAACAGTTAATCCCAGCTGTCAAAGGGCCATACTTGGCCCTGTTTAAATTCCCAGACCAGAGATAGCCCTTCTGGAAGACATCTACACCCATCTCATCTATCCATCCATTCAACCAGCACTAATTATTGAACACCCAGTATGCTCCAGGCACTGTGCGAGACATTGGGAATACAGAGGTGAATAACAGAAACCGGAATTCCTTCCTTTATGGAGCTTGCAATGGACACCACGTGTTCAAGTTTCATATAACCATAACAATAGCTAACATTTAGGAGTGCTCACTGTGTGCAGGCATCAGTTTAAGTGCTTTACCTGCATTAATGTATTTACTTCTCTCAGCAACCCTATGAGGAGGTGGGTATACTATTGTTCCCATTTTACAAGTGAGGAAAATGCACAGGGAGGTTAAGTAACTTGATCCAAGATCACAGACCAGCAAATAGCTTGGTTACTTGTAAAGCTGTACCTAGCAAGTTTTCATCACTTCTGTTTCCCATGTCACATTCACAGATTTGTCACTTTGTGACAATGTGTCACAAATTTGTTTACTCCAACCCTCTCTTTCTTCCTCTTGGTATAGGGCTTTGCTTCCACCAATGCTTCCACGCCCTGCGAAGAAACTGCTCTGCCACCCGTGACCTCTGACTTGGCCTTTATCCCCTGGTAGCAGTCTGGGCTTGTCTTTTAGTCTCCACCCCTGGTTTTAACCATTCTTGGTTTCGTTTGCCAACGCTTTCTCATCTTTCTGGTCCTGGTGTGCTGGAGTCTTTTAAAGCATGTTGCTAGTTTTCTTCCCTTCTCAGTCTATCACCTTTTGCTAGACAATTGAATTTCTAACCCTGGCTTTTAAGTACTACCTATAAACCAGTGCCTCCCAAATTCCCATCTCCAGCCCATACAACACCAGACTGCTATAGTCAGCTTCTGGATGAAAGCCTGAACTCAACTATCCAAAACCATCCTCGTCATTTCCCTCACACCAAACATGTTCCCATCCCTGTGTTCCCTTTCTCAGAAAATAGTGCCACCAACCAGTTATGAAAGCCAAAAGCTACAACCATTCTTAACACTTCCCTTGTCCTCACAATCCCCATATAAAATCCATCCCCAAGTCCTGTTGATTTTATATCTGAAATATCCCTTCAGTACATCCACTCCTCCCCATCATTATCACTATTTTCTATTCCTGACCCTCATCCAAGCTGCTTTTTTTTTTTTTGAGATGGGGTTTCGCTCTTGTTGCCCAGGCTGGAGTGCAATGGCACGATCTCAGCTCACTGCAACCTCCTGCCTCCCAAGTTCAAGTGATTATCCTGCCTCAGCCTCCCAGGTAGCTGGGATTACAGGCATGTGCCACCACACCTGGCTAATTTTGTATTTTTAGTAGAGACGGGGTTTCTCCATGTTGGTCAGGCTGGTTTCGAACTCCCAACCTCAAGTAATCCACCTGCCCCAGCCTCCCAAAGTGCTGGGATTACAGGCGTGAGCCACTGCGCCTAGCATTCCCAAGCTACCTTTACCTTTCACCTGAAATACTCCTATTACTGGTCTTTTATGGTTTCCTTGCCTCTATTCTTGTTCCTTTTCAGTCTATTCTCCACACTCCAGCCAGAGTGATCTTTCCAGAACATGAATCTGCTTATGTCACCCCTGCTTTAAAACAAATAGTTTTTTCAAGGATTTCTCTATGCTGTTGACAGGGGAGGGGGTGAAGTTATGTCAATAGGAAAGTAGAGGACCCTTATTTCTTCACACAAAGGCACCTACCAGGCCATTTGCCAAATTTGGCACTGCAGGGTTAAGTCCAACTAGATAGGAAGCATTTTTCTACCTTGTCTGCACAAGGGGTGTGCCCTTTGTGTCATTTGCACAAAGGTCAGAATACTTAGTAGGCTTGAAAGGCCTTCCATAGTCTGTTCCCAGCCCACTTCCTCAGTCACAGGCAGCACCAGTCTTCTTGCTACCCACAATCCACCCATTCTTGTCTACTCTCAGGTCCTCAGATAATCCACACTTCCTGCTGCTTCAGGACCTTTGCACATGCTGTTCTTCCTTACTGAAATGCTTCTCTTCATGCATAAATAACATCTGCTCATGCCTTACATCTCAAATCAAGCATCAATTCCTTAAGGGTCCGACTTCCCCCAAGACTAGGTCAGAACATTCATATTTGCTTTTTTTTCTTTAGAGCACGTATCTCATTTTTAAATTGCACCTTAGTTACATGATTGTGTTGTTAATGACTCTCTATGCTGTAGTCTTTATGTTCATTAAAGGCAGAGACTCTACCAGTCAGGATTCTTGGCTGTAAGCAACAGAAAAGGATTCTGGCTAAACTTAAGCATAAAAGGAATTTATTGGAGGATTTGGATTAAGTTCACAGAATCAGTGGGAAGGCTGGTGAATCAGACCCAGAAAATGAACAGGACCTAAGGTTGCCTAGGCAGCAGGGGATGTGGCCAATGTCAAGCTGTGGGGCAATCCGATTGGGATATTCTACCAACGCTGCTGCCACTGGACACTGGCACCCATGGAACAGCTGTGCTCTTGACAAAGCCAGTACTGTTCTGAGAAAATTTCTCAATTGTCCTGATCTATGGCTTCATATCCTCTAGGTCTCTGCCCAGGCAGGAGAGTTCAATTGGCTGAGCCATGTCACATGCCCATATCCCACCTGCCAGGGAACAGGACCATCAGGCCTCCCATCAAGGTTCACACAATGTGGGTGTTTCCCCCATTGAAAACATTGTGGGGATGCCAAGTAAGAAAAAAAAGAGCAGCAGAGAAACCGTATCTGTTCAATTCATATGTTCCCCAAACTAGTATGATATCTGGCATCAAATAAGACAAAAAATATTTGAGGGAACAAATAAATGACCAACGCTAGGCATCTCTGAGGACACAGACTGTCCAACTTGTGCCTGCTTCAGGGTAACTGCTCACAATCACTGGGGCCTTTGCACTCCAGCTAGAGCCAACACTGGTCAAACTGGCTGCTTAGTCGAGATCACCCCAGTCCCACTGAGGTCAGATGAGGAGCCAGGAGCTCTATGAGCTAGAGTGAGTGGATATTACTAGACCCATTTTATAATGCAAATGTGAGGTTCAGGGAGGTGAACTGCCATATTCAAGATAATACAGCTGGAAAGCAAGAACAAGGACTTGAAGACTCATCTGCTGGCATAGTTTAGTACCTTTTCCCACCTTCTGTATTATGTTGCTTCAATTGCATATGACAATGTGCTTCACATAAAAATATTTGGGTGGCCAGGACATTTCCTCCAACAGTATCAGATAACAAGGGAGTGGAGAGTGCTGAGGCCACCTAAGAGATCAGCTACATCCAGCATGGGAGAAAGCTGGGCACAAGGATTCCAAGGAGTTAATGCTTATCTAGTCAAGATCCCTTTCCTTGCAAGGAGACAAGATGCCTTGGTAAGCTGAGCTGCCTGCTGATAAACTGCTGGTTAACATGTTCAGGCTATCACTGTGGATCATTTATCTTTCCCTTCTTACCCAGATCAATTTGGCCTCCTTGTACATCATGAACCTAAGAATTTCCACTGAAATTGATGACATATGGCTTGCTGCAGTGCCAGGGGACACAACCCCCCTGTTTACAGTATAATTCCCTAATAGTGAATGGGCCCAGCCCCCCATCCATCCCCATCCCTCCCAACAATTCCTTCTTTGAGCTCACTATAAAAGGCTATAATGAAACCTCTAATGATATTTAGCAATGACAGGGAATGGTTCCAGGAGGGAAATTACAGCTGGAAGATGTCCACCACGACCTGCTAGTAATTGTAAAGGAAATCTACTCAGGTCTCAAAGGGTCCTTTGTTTTATATAAACAGGAGGCTTCCAAGGTTGTTCTAGCCTCCTCTAATAGCAGAAGTCTATGGAGAGATATCTCCTTCAGAAAGTGGAGTGGAAGTTCTGTTCACATTACATTAGAAAGAACTCACTCATTACTAGTATTTTTCCCCCAAGAACTTGGGGGACCTTCCTCTAGTTCTAACAAGAGTGACTATTTACTAAATACATCATCAGGAGACTAACCAGGGAGGCAAGTGGAACACCAGACAGGATAGAGTCAGGGTGTTAGAGCTCTAGGGTGGCTCTGCCCCTCTCTGTCTGACTTGGGTAAATCCATTCTCCTCTATGAGCTTCAGTGTCTTCATCTATAGAATCAGAATGTTGAACTAAATGACTCTCTAAGCTTTTTCCAGCTCTGACATAACATTCTGTGATTCCACTTGGAAAATGGTAAGCAAAAAATTTGTAAGCAGAGGGAGGAATGGGTGATCTTTAAAAAAATGCTTCAATAAAAGAAACAGAATGGATAAAGCCCTGGTGACCTACACAAGGAAATCAGTCAAGTGTCCTCAGGAGGCTCAGAAGGCAGGCTGCAACTTGCTGGGCAAGCCACACCTGCTCCTCACATTCCTTCCAAGGGCAGCCCCAGGTCTGAGCTCTCGGCAGTGAACCAGTGAACTGTAAGGTATTTTTTTGTTTGTTTGTTTGTTTGTTTTTGGTGGGGAGGTGGGTGGAATCTTGGAGGCAGCTGCTCAATCCCTGAAGATAGCTGGTTCTTAAGACCCGACCCCAGCAGAGGAAAGCTGATTTTCAGAACAGAAGCATGAGGGGGCTCTTCCTTGGAAGAAGTGAGTAAAAAAAGGCATCTTAACCTGCTGGCTACCCAGCAGGAACAGGAGGAAATAAGTATAATGGAGACATGTGGCTAGTTTTTACAGCTAATAGGTAAAACACATCTTTAAAGCACATTAACAGTAAAAATCTTAGCTACACAAGGCAAAAGTCCCAAGCCCCATATTTGGTATATGCAGGGTGTGTGTTCATGAATTTACTCAATGTCTTTCAAATCTCAGTTTGCTGACATGTGACATGGATGTAATCTAAACAATTTAAAGTACATGAAACTTTCACTAAGCACCAGATTGTTTCAGACGCTCATATCAATTACTTCATTTAATATTCATAATAGCGAGAGAGGGATTTATAGTTTCATTTAACTAATGAGGAAACAGGGGAGGTAAGTGACTTCCTGACCCAAAGGAATAAGATTTGACCTCAGGTTTGTCAACATTTGGGTTACTTCCAGTAAGTCAATGGCTCAAAGAAGATTATATGTGTGAAAACGCTTTGCAAATTATAAATGCTATAAAGTGCAAGAAGTCACAGTCCTGAATTAATGCAGAAACCTAAATATCATCCAGAAGCAACATTCTGATGGAGTAAGGGGCTTTTTCAGGGAGTCTGCTTTGTTCAGTTGCCCACTGGATCCTTTATTTTCCAGGCAGACAAGTGAGTTTTTAAAAGTGACTCTTGAAACAATGAGGCTTTCTGGTTCCAGCTGTGCTACAGAAACATTAATCTTGAGAATTCACTTGCTCTTTTCATGTGTGAAATGCGGGGTTAGGTCACAGGTGATCACCAAGGTCACTTCCGTCAAAGCACTTCAGTGACTCAGAAGTGGAAAGCACCCAGTGAGACCTAGAGTGGGGAGTCTCACTCTCATTGTTAGAGAGCCAGTTCTAACTTCAGGTACTTGGGCCACCCTTCCTACTGTAGGAGAGCCTGCTCACATCCACCCTCTCCCCTTGGTAAGTCTTATTTGACCCTGGAAGGAAGTTTGGAGCCTGGAGGAGTTTCTCCCTTGATGAGTGGCAGCAGACTTTGAGATCTCTGGCAATCCCACAGTATCCACTCCACCAGCGCATAGCAGCCACAGCCCTAAGTTGAGAAGCCAGTAGCTGAGAGCTATCTCTCCCCAATTCTTACTGGTGTTTCAGTCTTGGGAGGTCCTCATAGACTGTAGAAACAGGATGGGAGGAGGGGCATGAAATGGATTCCAGGGGAAGAAACTGCAGTCCTGGATCTAGCTTAGCTGTTGCTGAATATGTGATATACCAACCACTCCCTTCCTTTGTACACACCTAGTGTTGTATCAGTTTCTCAGTTACTGTAGTAACTTGTTTACTTGTGGGGTACCCCACAGTCACACACATAAATGAACGTGAATGACTGAAAAGTAAGAGATAAGTGTAAGAGGGACAAGTGGCTAGTTTTTACAGCTAATAGGTAAAACATATCTTTAAAGCACATTAATAGTAAAAATCCCTGGGTGCAGTGGCTCACACCTATGATACCAGCACTTTGGGAGGCCGACGCAGGTGGATCACCTGAGGGCAGGAGTTCAAGACCAGCCTGGCCAACATGGTGAAACTCCATCTCTACTAAAAATGCAAAAATTAGTTGGGCATAGTGGTGGGCACCTGTAATCCCAGTTACTC
The DNA here is from genome assembly GCF_000001405.40 of Homo sapiens. Classification (NCBI taxonomy): domain Eukaryota; kingdom Metazoa; phylum Chordata; class Mammalia; order Primates; family Hominidae; genus Homo; species Homo sapiens. The sequence continues at coordinate 58,574,767 of NC_000001.11, forward strand.
AGGAGGCTGAGGTAGGAGAATCGCTTGAACCCAGGAGGTGGAGGTTGCAGTGAGCTGAGCTCACTCCACTGCCCTGCAGCCTGGACAACAGAGCAAGACTCCATCTCAAAAAATATATGTAATAAGTAAAAGTCTTAGGAAAACAGCCTGTGCACACCCAGCAAAAGTGTAGGGCCCACTGCAGACTGGCTCTAATTATGTGGGAAAGTCGTTTAATCTTAGAGCCACAACGCTTTGAGATTAAGTGATTTGCTCAAAGGCTAAATGGAAATAGTACCACTTATTTCAAAGTAGGGCTGGGATTCAAAGGAGGTACAGCTCTTGAACTAGAGTTTTCTGTCTCCATTGGTGATAAGCCTTGTTTAGAGATGACCAAAGACTGGCACTCTTTTTCATAAAAGCAGCTAGTTTTAGCTTCCTCCCTCAAGCTCACCCTCCTGCAGTTTGAAGGAAGTTTCCAAATAATCTTATTTAGAAAGAATAGCATTTACACTGGCCAGTTAGGATATCTTAGGACACACCAGAGTAGCAACATGAAACACCCACTTCTGGGGGAAAAAAAAGTGTTATAATTTGAAATAAAAAAAAAATACAAGTCTTGGGAAATTAGAGACCAATGTGATAGAAATCTGGAGGGACTTTTCACAAATGCCGACTTCTGGTTTGTGCCTTTCCCATATTTTATTAAATTCGTGTTTTATTTTAAAAAATTACAGCAACATTATCAAAGACAACATATGTACAAACATTTTACAAAAAAGAACATTACCAATATCAGTGGCAGTAAGGGCAAGCTGAAGAATAAATAGACTGAGTTTCCGGGCAATGTCTGTCCTCAAAGACATCCAAACTGCGTTCAGGCAGCTGAAACAGGCTTCTTTCCCAGTGACAAGCATATGTGGTCAGTAATACAAACGATGGTAAATGAGGCTACTACATAGGCCCAGTTAACAAACTCCTCTTCTCCTCGGGTAGGCCATGATACAAGTGGAACTCATCAAATAATTTAAACCCAAGGCGATAACAACGCTATTTCCCATCTAAACTCATTTAAGCCTTCACAATGTCGCAATGGATTCAGTTACTTGCAAACGATCCCGGGTTGTCATACAGATACTTGTTTTTTACACATAACGCTATGCCATCCCTTCCTTCACTGCCCCAGTCAGGTTTCCTGTTGTTGGACCGAAAGGGGATACATTTTAGAAATGCTTCCTTCAAGACAGAAGTGAGAAAGAAAGGAGACCCTGAGGCCAGGATCTATTAAACCTGGTGTGTGCGCAAAAGGGAGGGGGAAGGCAGGAATTTGAAAGGATAAACGTCTCCTTTGCGCCGAGGAATCAGGAAGCGTGACTCACTTGGGTCTGGGACGATACCGAAATCCGGTACCCCACCCCATCCCCTGCCCCGCCGGGTACCTACAAGCTCGGTTCCTTTCTCAACTCCCCCAGTTCCTTGATCTCCACCTTCTTGTACTTCCCCGACTTTCTCCGGTTGGTGATCACCAGGACGGCCATGCCGGCGACGAGGGCCACCACGACCACCACGATGACGGCGATGAGGCCGGCGGTGAGGCGCTTCATGGAGAACTTCGGGGGAATCTCGTCCAGGTAATAGATGAGCGTGCGCTCCACCTGCAGGGGTTCTCCGCGCACGCGCAAGTCCAGGCCGCCGCGGCCCTGGAATAGAGACTCGCCCTTGATGTCCCTCTCGAAGTAGTAGGCGGCATCGCCGATATCCACGTCACCGGCGGCCTTCTGAGACGTGTTCTGCCGCAGCTCGATCTGGATGGTGGGCTGCTCGTAGTGCACGGCCGCCACGAACTTGGGGTGCAGCCGATAGCGCTCGCGGAAGAGCCGCCTCAGCTCGGCGTCCAGGTCTGAGTGGTTGAAGGCGCCGGCGGTGGGGCGGTGGCGCAGGTCAATGAGGATGTGGTGGGTGCGCACCAGCTCATCGCAGCGTAGGCTCAGGTCGCCCTTGTCCGTGCGGCGCACGCCCACCGAGTTCACGCACCAGCACACCGACGTCTGGTTGCACTGGCGCGCCTTGAAGCGGCCCTCGGGGTCGCAGTCGGGGTCGTAGAGGCCATCGTTGTCCACGAGCGCGTGCTCACTCGGCCGCACCAGCGTGCGGGCGTTCTTGGGGGCGCTCATGCGCGCCTTGAGCAGCAGACACTTGGAGGTCAGCGTGGAGCAGTCGACCGCCATGCCCGAGCCCAGCGCGCGGCACTGGCAGCGGCCGCCGGGGCCGTCGGGGCTGCACACGGTCATCTTGTTGGTGGGACACGTGCAGTTGTCCTGCGCGGCCGTGTGGCCGGTCACCGCCGCCAGCACCAGCAGCAGCAGCGGCAGCCGCAGCGGTGGCGGCGCGAGGCCGGGGCCCCGAGCCATGGTGGGGCGGAGGAACGCGGACCGGACGCGGGCGGATGAGGCGCGGGGACTCGTCGGGGCTCGGGCTCCGGCGTCTGGGATGGTCTGCAGGCGTCTGCCGCCCGGCCGCTCCCTCCGGCTCTTATACTCTACCCGACCTGCCCGGCTGGTTCCACCACCGACCGTCCCCACTGGTATTTGGGTGACACATCCCGCCCCCCTCCCCGTCCCACGGAAGGCCAAGCCGGCCCTGCGCCGCCCGCGATAGGATCAGAACAGGGAAGCTGCTCCCGCCTCCTCCGGACCGAAAGCCGGGAAGGGGAGAACCGATACTCACCTGTAGGCTTCTGGGGACCCGCCCTCGGCGCGGCCTCCTGCTACAGACCTGGCGCGTCTGGGCCGCTCTCCCGGCAGAAAGTCTAAAGAGTTTCATTGCAAAGTGTGGCTCGCGACTGTCGCGCTCTCCTCTATACGCGACTCCCTTTTCGTTCTTTCCCAGCCCCAGCCCTCCCTTAATTTCTCTCACTCCCTCTCTTCTTTGTCCAGTTCTCACAGTAGCACACGTTTATATAGTTTACAGTTCACAAACATTATCTCATCCTAACACCAGTCCTGACAGGTAGGGACTATCAGACCCGTTTTATAGGTGGTACTGATGAGGCTTAAAGACCTGAAGTCACACTGCTATCAACTTCCTCATATTTCTGAGAGGGGTCTTTGGCACCCTGCCTAGGAGTGATGAGACCTTAAATAAAGTGTTTGTGGACACGAAGTGACACAGAATCTGAAGGGAAGTTAGGGAAGCAGTTCTGTTACTCACCATATCAAGGGTAAAACACAGGTATCCTGGTGTCCAGAGGGTTAAAAGTTCTGTTAAACACTAATTTTCTGTACCTCACACAAGCGCACACACACAGGCACACACGCACATAATATTTATTTGTGCACTGGCTATAAAGAGACAAACAGGAACAAATTCTTAAAGAGCCAGCAAGACTGTAAAGAGTTTTTTGTACAATTTGATTCTAACACAGCAAATCGTTGCTTTTCTTTTCCTGTATCCCACGTAAGTAGCTGAACCATGTAAATAATGAAAGAATGGAGCCTGTGAGAAATTGCTTGTCTGCCACTGTGTGGCTAGTTTCATGGCATACAGGGGTTGCAATCTCTTTTTGAGTCATTGAGAAAGTCTAGAGTTTCAAAGCTGTGGTAAAATTAACAATAATTAGCAAGCTATAATTATTCCCAGGTCCTCCATCAAAGCACATTTTATATGTTCAGCATTTAATGTGCACCACCAGTCGTGCAAGGGTGTTGTTTAGCAGATGAAAGCCAGCTGGGCCTCTGTCCCATTAATTTTCACGCAATTCCTGAGGCAGGAAGATTGAAATATATTCTGCCTTGACAGACAGAGGAAGCAGAGACATGTGAGGGACAATTTCTTTTTTCTTTTTTTTTTTTGAGACGGAGTTTTGCCCTTGTTGCCCAGGCTGGAGTGCAATGGCGTGATCTCGGCTCACCACAACCTCCGCCGCCCAGGTTCAAGCAAGTCTCCCGCGTCAGCCTCCCGAGTAGCTGGGATTACAGGCATGAGCCATCAAGCCTGGCTAATTTTTTTTTGTATTTTTAGTAGAGACAGGGTTTCTCCATGTTGGTCAGGCTGGTCTCAAACTCCTGACCTCAGGTGATCCGCCCACCTCAGCCTCCCAAAGTGCTGGGATTACAGGCATGAGCCACCACGCCCGGCGAATTTTTTTTTTTTTTTTTTTTTTTTTTTTTTTTTTTGAGACGGAGTCTCGCTCTGTCACCCAGGCTGGAGTGCAGTGGCATGATCTCAACTCACTGCAAGCTCCACCTCCTGGGTTCATGCCATTCTCCTGCTTCAGCCTCCTGAGTAGCTGGGACTACAAGCGCCTGCCACCACGCCCGGCTAATTTTTTTGGTATTTTTAGTAGAGACGGGGTTTCACCGTGTTAGCCAGGGTGGTCTCGATCTCCTGACCTCGTGATCCGCGTGAGGGACAATTTCTTATCCACAAACATGAGGAATTGTGGGATAGTCCTCTGCTGTCTATCCCCACTGTCTCTGTTCAGGTCTTCCTTGGACAGATATCTGAGTCAGGTTCTAGTTTCTTTTCCCCTCTCCGACCTCGGTCCACCCTGCATCCAAGAAGACTTTCTAAATCAGAAGTCTGTGCCCACCTCCTCTCTGTTAAGTAGAGTGAGGGGGGTGCTCTCGGCTCTCCAGATAAAATTCATGCTTCTTATATTAGCCCTTAAGATCATTCCTATATGATGTTATAGGCAAGCTACGTCTCTGTGCCTTAGTTTTGTCATCTGTAAAATGGGGATAATAAAAGTACCTACCTTACAAGGTAGGTTTTATAGTTAATGCAGATAAACTGCTTTGAAGAGTATCTGTTCTAACAGTATCTACACATAGTAAGCAACGGATAGATGTTAGCTGCTGTCATTTGTCATCATCGTTGTCGTCGTCGTCGTCATCATCATCATCATCATCATCGTGCTCCTGCCAACCTCTCCGGCAGTCCATGTTTTCAAGTCTTTGCAAAGTCACCTACCTGGAGTCTCCCTTTCTTTATTTAGTGCATAATTCTGTTTTTCTACTCAGCTCTTGAGTCACCTCCAAGATGCCTTCCCTAATAAGGCCCTCCCTGTTACACTCAGGGATATGCCTCTCTATTCGTTCCTAATCTCAGACATACTAGGATGGCAACATTAACTTTTCTGGGCTTTTGTCCTCCCATCTGTCAAATGGGCAAAATACAGCCTGTTTCGTAGATTATGCTGAGACTCAAATACAAAGAGATGAGATGGTAGATGCCAAAGCTTTGTAAACTCTAAGACTCTGTAAAAATATTAGATTTCACTTTTATTTCTAAAATATATATACCCTCTTCTTGCTTTTCCAGGTATTAACTAGGTAGCCACAATGTTCTATAACTAGCAGAGTTCTCTATTTTCCATTCCATCAGGTCCCAGGCTGGCAAGAGGAAAGCTGATGAGAGAGGGTTCTCAGGGCTGAGGAATTTGTGTGATGGTGTCATTGACTACCAAGCTAGAACAGCCCCACATGGGTGGTACTGGGGCTAGTGCTCTGAGGCATCCAAGCCTTTGCTTCTTCCAATTATGTTAGGTACTGAGAGGACAGGAATAGAAGGGGCCCAGCCTCAATATCTTCTGGGGAAGTTAGAGTAAGGCAAAGATGACCTCCTAATCCCCTCCCCCCACAGACTCCACTTGCTTAAATTCTCTGGTTCTGCCAGGCTTTCCCCAACACACACAAAGACCACAATGAGTTTATTATGTAAACACAGTCTCAGCTGTGATTCTCCCTTTTCCCTTCGTCCTTTTTCTGCCAAGTTCTGCAAAATAGCATGTATTAGCTTTATCTCTTTTTATTTATTTATTTATTTATTTTTGAGACAGAGTTTTGCTCTTGTCACCCAGGCTGGAGTGCAGTAGCATGACCTCGGCTCACTGAAACCTCCGCCTCCTGGGTTCAAGTGATTCTCCTGCCTCAGCCTCCCAAGTAGCTGGGATTACAGGTGCTCAACACCATGCTCAGCTAATTTTTGTATTTTTAGTATAGACGGGGTTTCACCATGTTGGCCAGGGTGGTCTCAAACTCCTGACCTCAGGTGATCCTCCCGCCTTGGCCTCCCAAACTGCTGGGATTACAGGCGTAATCCCACCACACCCAGCCTGTATTTTTTAATTTTAATTTAAAAAATATTTAACACAAGCATTTCAGGCTTGTCATGTGTTTATGAGGGGCGGGAAGCACATATAAGCACTGTATGTAGCCCCAGCACCAGAATATTAGGCACTAAGTAATGTTTATTGGATTAACACTGAGTTGTGCCCAGAATGTTTCAATATCAATATATTCTCCTAGGAGTGTTCATGTGGACCATTTCAGTACTTCTTTCCTTGTCTAAGCCTCACCACCTGCCCCAACCATGAATCTCTGTCCCTACCCTAACCCACCCTCCAAACACCCAATTTCAAGGAAGACTGGGTAACGATGCCCTTATTGTCATTTTTGTCCAATCCTTAACTTTTGTCAGCCTTGTGCCTGCAAGGATGAAGGATATGATCTGAGGACACCAAGAGCAGCCAAAGATTCTATAAGCAAGTGTATAATGTAGTTGAAAGAAAATGGACCTTGGATCCAGTGAGACTTAGGCTCAAGTTTTGGCTTCACACCACTCACTGCTGTGTGTTTCTCAGCAAGTTGTTTCAGCACTCTGCGCCTCAGCTTCCTTAACTGTAAAATGGGGGTAACAGGGCCTACACTGCATCAATGCCTGTGAAAACAATGATTTCCCACCTTGTAATTAATAATACATTTTTCCCCATTGAACTTCACACTTCAGCTGTTCTTGTGCTCTTTGATAAATTCTTGGTGATAATCTGATTCTCCTTGGTATAAGACCAATACCAGCATGTGAATTTTATATTAAAGGGTATGATATATAAAAACAAAACATAAAAATAAAACTGTTTGATTAATTAAAAATAAACAGCACTTACCATCGAGAATTATTTTAATGATTCCAGATAAAGACTATAAAATACTCAACATAATGTTTGGTATGTGCTAAGTAAAATATTTTAGCTATTATTATCAGCCATCTCAGGAATGTGAAGATGCTTTAAGATCATTAAAGGGTTCTTCACAAGGCCAGTGATTATGGGGACTGCTGAAGATCAAGTCCAGGGAGCTGAGTGCTAGGCAGGAGAGCAGCCCGAGAGCCCCAACCATCCCCTGACCTCCAGGATGCAGCAATATGGAGAGTATCTAGATGCAGATAGTGCTTTAGTATATTTGCCCCCATTATCTGCTGGGATCCCTGCAGCACCTCTGGGGGTTAGGCAGGGAAGATATTATTATCCCTATTTTATAGATGTGGAAACAGAGGCCTTGGGGGAAGGGAACAATTTGCCCATGGTCACATGCTTATAAAAGGTGAGGCCAGGCCTAGAAACCAGGTCTCCTGACTGCAAATGTATATAGAAATTAACAAAGATGGAATTAACAAGGGGTTGAAAGAGCTTAGAGACTCATCTCATGTTTCTCAGGTTTTCTGTTACTTTTCATCCCTTCCCTTAATTGTACAAATATTTTTAGGAATTTCTTGTTTCAAGAAGAATGATTAAATAATTTATTTTCTTTTTTTTCTATTTATTTATTTATTTTTTTTATTTTTTTATTTTTTTATTATTATACTTTAAGTTTTAGGGTACATGTGCACATTGTGCAGGTTAGTTACATACATATACATGTGCCATGCTGGTGTGCTGCACCCACTAACTCGTCATCTAGCATCAGGTATATCTCCCAATGCTATCCCTCCCCCCTCCCCCCACCCCACAACAGTCCCCAGAGTATGATGTTCCCCTTCCTGTGTCCATGTGTTCTCATTGTTCAATTCCCACCTATGAGTGAGAATATGCGGTGTTTGGTTTTTTGTTCTTGCGATAGTTTACTGAGAATGATGGTTTCCAATTTCATCCATGTCCCTACAAAGGACATGAACTCATCATTTTTTATGGCTGCATAGTATTCCATGGTGTATATGTGCCACATTTTCTTAATCCAGTCTATCATTGTTGGACATTTGGGTTGGTTCAAAGTCTTTGCTATTGTGAATAATGCCGCAATAAACATACGTGTGCATGTGTCTTTATAGCAGCATGATTTATAGTCCTTTGGGTGTATACCCAGTAATGGGATGGCTGGGTCAAATGGTATTTCTAGTTCTAGATCCCTGAGGAATCGCCACACTGACTTCCACAATGGTTGAACTAGTTTACAGTCCCACCAACAGTGTAAAAGTGTTCCTATTTCTCCACATCCTCTCCAGCACCTGTTGTTTCCTGACTTTTTAATGATTGCCATTCTAACTGGTGTGAGATGGTGTCTCATTGTGGTTTTGATTTGCATTTCTCTGATGGCCAGTGATGGTGAGCATTTTTTCATGTGTTTTTTGGCTGCATAAATGTCTTCTTTTGAGAAGTGTCTGTTCATGTCCTTCGCCCACTTTTTGATGGGGTTGTTTGTTTTTTTCTTGTAAATTTGTTTGAGTTCATTGTAGATTCTGGATATTAGCCCTTTGTCAGATGAGTAGGTTGCAAAAATTTTCTCCCATTTTGTAGGTTGCCTGTTCACTCTGATGGTAGTTTCTTTTGCTGTGCAGAAGCTCTTTAGTTTAATTAGATCCCATTTGTCAAAATAATTTATTTTCTAGGACACAGCTGTGAGCCCACAGCTGAAGACCCTAATGCCCAGCACTATGCAGGGAGGGGTCCGCACTCTTCTTTCTAGCCTGACCACCATCAGCTTCAGCCTCTTTTAAGGAGCTCCTTTTGAGACAGTGGGCAGTGCTGGAGGGCCAGAGTTTCCTTTTCTCCTCAGCAGAAGCTTGCAGTCCTAGAAGAAGCAGGTAACTCTTCAGCCAGAATACAGATAATGCAGAGAGAGAAGTTGGTTGTGGTGATTGTTAGTTCAGGCTGGAGGAAGGAAGCCCCAAGAAACAGAACATAAAAAAGGAAGTTGGACAGTGTCCAGAGTGTAGAGGTGTGGAGAACAGAATAGACAAGGGCTACACAACTGTATCTTCGGTGTTTCATTTCTTTAAAAATGTGTTTTAAGTATTTCAAAATACTAGAAATCAAGAGCTAGGGAATGGGTACACTCTCCATATTTTGTTTGCTTAAAATGTTTGTAATAAAAAAATTCACATCAATTCCTCAAAGTAAGTTTTGGAGGAAGTATTTGGGAGTAATATTTTCTGTTTTTGCTTCCTCTTTTTCTCCATTTCTGTTATTTTTATTAATATAAGCTGTCATTTATTGATCATCATATTATAAATTCCTTGTAATTCCCCCAGCAAGCCTACAAAATAATTACTCTTGTCCCCATTCACCTGATCAGGAAGCTGAGGCTTAGGGTCACATAGTTAGAAATGAGTCCAGGAAGGATCTGAGCCAAGTCTCGTGACTGGGACATTTTTCCATTGCACAGTTTAGTCTCTCGCTGATGGGTCTTGAATAAACGAGAGAGGTCAAAGATGTTCTGCTGGTAAACTGGGTGTGGTCTGGGTCCTGGCTGCCCAGGGAATGTTTGATCTTTTCACTTTTCTGGGAAGACAACACGTTTCTGTTTGTGCTTGCTCATTTGGGTGGGCCCAACTCAGTTTCTTTCAGGAGAAGTTGCCTGTGATGTGTACAGTTCTGCTTGGTTTTTGTGGTTCATCTGGATTTGAAAAGTGACTGCAGTTTCACCTTACAAGTGTGTGTCATGGTTTCATTTCAGAATCCTGCCCATCATCTTCTTTTCATGGTGTCCTTGTTCTGAATTGCAAACCATAAATGGCCTCCTTCTCATTCTGGTCTCTTCATCTAGGGGCAGTCAGCTTCTCCTGTAAGGGCTTTACACTCTGGGGAAAGCCAGTAAAACACTCAGTGACTTTTAATTTCACTGGGCCCAACAGCTTCCAGACAGATTTGGCAACAAATAAAGAGAGATTGGGAAACCTTCTCCCTACATTCCTGAGGCAGCCACAATGCTCGAACCCCACACTGATGAGTCACGGTGCTTCCTTTCCCAGAGCTGGCCCGGCGATGTGTGATGCCCTGTTAAGGGGATGTGGAGGTGTTTGCTGTTTTTAACCACTTTCAGCTGTCCTTGAGATAAGGGCAGGTGGTGAGAGGTCTTAAGTGGGCTGCTGCTACTGACAAATTCGTCTGCCTTTCTGGACAGTCCTGATCCAAGTGAGGCTCCTTAGAGTTATCAAAAGGGGTCTTAGAGGACATGTATTCCAGTCTCCCACCCAAAGAGAGGTATCTCAGAATGCTAAACAGGTGCTTGTAGGCTACCTGTGATAATGCAACATCCTTACCTCCCCACAAGACAACCCATTCCAGTCCCAAGCAGCTTTACTAAGAAGTTCATCATAATTAAGGAAATTCAGTGCCTCTGTAATTTTCACAAACTGATCTAAATTTCTACTCTTGGAGCAAGAAAGAGTAAGTAATGTTCCCCTTTCACTCCTTGGTTCCTCAGGAATTTGAAGCCAGTTCTCCTGTCCCCAGACTTTCCCCTTTCCTGCTCTCTCCCTGCCTCTTCCATTGCCTTTCTCTAGTGGAACGTCCCTATCCCGTCATCCTTCCTCCTGTGCCAACCTCACACCCTAGGTGGTGGCAAGCACCATCTCCACCAGTGGCCCAGCCCAGCAAATGACATTATGAGAGATACCAGCAGAGGATTCTAGGGAAGCTTTGAGGAGGTTTTACTCCTGTTGTCTTGCCTTTCTACTCCCCTGTCTAGGAAGGCAGGAGTAACCCTAACAGCCCCTTACCTATCTATCAATTTCCTCTTTTCTAGGAACAGATGGTTTCTGGGCAATACTTACAATAAATATCTACACTGTATTGAGAGCCTATTACCAGCCAGCAACTCAACATGTGTTTCCTCTATCCCTATAACATCTGAAGGGAGTGGGTTTTGTTATTCTCACTTTACAAATAAGGAAACAGGCAGAAGGGCGCTTGTCTAAGAATACACAAATAGTAAATGGAACAGCTGTAATTCACATTCTTTTCTAAACATATTTTAGAGACAGGATCTCTCTCTGTTGCCCAGGCTAGAGTGCGGTGATGCAATCATAGCTCACTACAGCCTCAACTCCTGAGCTCAAGTAATCCTCCCACCTCAGCTTCAAGTAGCTAGGGCTTCAGGTACGTGCCACTGCACCCAGCTCACACCCCTTTTTGCCTGGTTCTGAGATTATGCTTTTTCTGTGACATCATGCTGCTACAGACCATATAAATTTCCTGAACCCAACATGTTTAAAACTCCAGCATGGTAGTATAGAAGTTCACTGGTATACAAGTTCAAGTTATACCCTAACCTCTCTTACTCATGCTGAATCAGAACATCAAAAATGGCCTCTCAAGAGAATCCAAGTAAGGATAAGGCTTTGATTTTATCCGACAACTTACTACCTTTAGATGGTATGGATAGTAAGTTTTGCTATCTTCTCCTTTTGGGAAGACAGACAAGTATTATGGACACTGCAGATGAATACAGTACAGCCTAGTGCAGGTGAATTTTGTTTTGTTTTGTTCAAAACAAGAAAGCAGAACAGAACCTTTCAGTCTCCCTGGTAGAAGATGCTCTCCTTAGCTCTTGTGCTGCCCCTCCCACAGACATTAATACCCAAGCTACATCCCTGGCATGGCTTACCCTCCTGCTCCTCCCTGCGCCTGTTCCTGTCCATCTCAAGACATCTCCAGTCACATCGGTCCAGGGCTGAGTGTGCTGAGGGGCTCAACTGCACTCCTACTCTCAGCCGTCATGAGTCACAAGACTCACACCAGGGATGGAAGTAGAGGCGAGGAGGAGTGGGAGAGAGGAAAAGTTCAGAAGTCTAGGAAGAATGAGGCAGGCAGGAAAGAGGAGACTTCATTGTTCTCTAATTCTGGGATGTGTGGGCCCAAGACAAAGGGCAAGAAAGTCCTTGTTGTTCCTCTGACCTTAGTGGGATGTAAGAAAATGGATTAATTTCTTTGGATTCATGTGAGAAGTCCTGGCTCTGTCAGCTGATCTTCAACTAGCATCTTTCAAAGCATGACTGATGGGAAAATGAGGACTGCCCTCAAAAGCTTCTCCAAGATCATGGGAGGCTGCCAATTGGAAGGTACCAGAAACCAACACAACTAAATTGCTCAGCACCCTGAACCTCTTTCCCCACCCACACTACTGATTTTTCATATACTTTCCAGCCTTCTATTCATCCGTCTCTTCAGCCAGGCAGGCAGGCAGGCAGGCATCCTCACTGAGTGCCTCCCAGGTGCCAGGTCTGTATTGGGCTGAGGAGGTACAATGGCAAGTTACACCTAACCCCTGGCTCCATGGAGGTTACAGTGCACACAGCAACTACCTCCTAGTGGGGGTTTAGTACATATTTGTTAAATAAATAACATGGAAACATATGAATAACTACAATATGGATTTATAAACCATATCTCCTGTCCTCTCCACTTATACAGATTATTTATATAGAGTTGCAGGATACATCAGTAGAAAAACCTCACTGGCTCTTAAGGTTGTCTGTTTTTCTCATTTTTTAAAGGTAATGAGTATGTAGCAATTTGGAGGTGGGAGCAAATACAATCCAATAGATAACATTTGCATTTTAAAAGGCATCTGAAATAAATAACATTTAGGCAGAAAAGACAACCTAAACAGATAGCACATGAGGAAAAAAATCCAAATAAATAACATTGAAGAATGTTAAGGCTGGAGATAGCCTTCCAAGAAAGCTAGTCCAGTAGTTCTGTTTTGAGTCACAGAATCCATTTCTGAAGACAGTGATGGATTCTCTCTTCAAATAATGCAACTGTGCACAAAGACAGTATATTTTGCACAGATTCCAGAGTCACAGACTCCCTGAAATTCATTTCAAGGACCTTCCTGACCTCAGTTTTAAATTTCTGGTGGGACTCATCACCTTCATCTCACTTAACAGGGACAGTGAAATGACTTGCTCAAGATCATCAGCCAGTTAGTGAAAACATTAGGCAGTTTGGTCTTAAGAAGGAACTCAGAAACCAGTTGCCTGAGTTCAAATTTTGCCTTTGCCATTTACTAGCGATTTGACCTCAATACATCATTTAACCTCCCCCTGCCTCTATTTGCTCATCTGTAAAATGGGGATAATAATAGTTAACCTACTTTGCAGGGTTATTGTGAGGATTAGGAATTAATCCATGTTAAAAAAAAAAAAAAGTTGGAGCAGGGGTTGGTTAGCAAACTAGTTAGTTAAAGGCTAGATAAACAATTTAGGCTTTGTGTGCTAAGGATCAAAATTAAAGATGAGACTGGGTGCGGTGGCTCATGCCTGTAATCCCAGCAGTTTGGGAAGCTGAGGCGGGCAGTGGCTTGAACCCAGGAGTTCGAGACCAGCCAGGCAACATGGCAAAACCCTATCTCTACAAAAACTTTAAAATTTAGTCAGGTGTGGTTGTGTGTGCCTGCGGTCCCAGCTACTTGGGAAGCTGAGGTGGGAGGATCACTTAGGCCTGAGAGGTCGAGGCTACAGTGAGCCTTGTTGGCGCCACTGTGCTCCAGCCTGGGTGACAGAGCAAGACCCTGTCAAAAAAAAAAAAAAACAAATCAAGATAATTATGAAGTACTTATATAATTATTTAACAATGTAAACAACATCTCGGCCAGGCTCGATGGCTCACACTTGTAATCCTAGCACTTTGGGAGGCCAAGGAGGGTGGATCACTTGAGCTCAGGAGTTTGAGACCAGTATGGACAACATGACAAAACCCCATCTTTAAAAAAATCCAAAAATTAGCCCAGCGTCGTGCCATGTGCCTGTAGTCACAGCTACTTGGGAGGTTGAGATGGGAGGTTGGCTTGAGCCCAAGAGGCGGAGGTTGCAGTGAAGTGAGTTGTGATTTTGTCCAGCCGGGTGACACAGCCAGACCCTGTCTCAAAATTTAAAAGTGTCTCAGCCCATGGACCACACAAAAACAGAATTTGGCCAGTGTAGTTTGCTGACCCTTAGCTTAAAGCAGCACCTGGCACACAATAAATGCTCAATAAATGGTAGTTTCTATTATCCAAATCAGGGCTCTTTCGATTGCTCTGAACTGCTTATGCTCCATGTAACATAAATAACAGGAAACAAGGTGCGGGCTGACCAACTTAGCCAACCTGTTTGTTTAGACACAAGCCAAAGTTACCAAGATGTAACGCGTCTCCGTGCTCCTCCCTGTATCAGAGCCTTCCTATTCGTGTCCTGCTCCAGTAGGTAAAGCAGCCAATGCTCTAACTGTTCTCAGGGAAGCCTCAAGTCAGGTGCCATATGAAGACAGGCGGGAGGAGCTGGAATGGTTTCTGGGCAGAGGTAGAGACCGGAGAAGAAGAGAGGGGCCCATCCCACAGCTCTGAGGTGTCCCAGACTCTGGAGCACTATGCTATCTTCCAGCTGTGGCATCCTGGCCACATCCTGCCTCTTGTACCTGTAGAAGGCCAGTTCTGTCCATCAGCCACCTCCTGCTACTTTAGAGCAGCCCTGCCTGGGGCAGATCCAGACATAAATTCAACCACAGCTCTGAGTTAGAAGGGACCCCATCATCTACTTCCAATCACCCCATTTTACCAATAGGAAAATTAAGGCCTGGGTTGGAGAAGTGACTTGCCTGAGGCCGCATAGCAGGCACAGTTATGCTGGGATTAAAAACCCAGGCTCCTGCCTCCCAGGCCAGTGCTTTTTTCTTGCCTGAGTTCCTGCAGGTTTCTCTTTGGCGCATAATGGAAATACCAGTGGAGTTGTCTGGTGCAGTTTTTTATGCTTATCAGAGAGCAGCTGGATTTGATGTAGATGCAGCCGTCTTCAGAGGGTATTCTCTTGTTTATCAACATTCCTTGAGCTCCTTCTATGTGCCAGGCTGTGTGCTGAGCACAAAAGATGAAAAGAGAGCCAATGTCTTCTTTCAAAGACTCAGTTTACAACTGGATGTGATTATTGTTTCTCATTGGTTGGTTTGCGTATTTGTTTGTTCATTCAACAAACATTATTGAGCACATACTTTGTGTCAGGCATGGCACTAGATGCTGGGACTAAGCATTAGTAAAGCCTCTGCCTTTGCAAAAATTATGATCTAGTGAGAGAGATACACAATAAATGAAATAAACACAGAATAGTATGCACATAGGTGTTTGAAAACAAGTTCTCCAGGAGAAAAAAGAAAGTACCCTAATTTGTAGCCTTTGGTGATTTTCAAGTAGCTAGTCAATGGTGAAGTCAGGATTTGAACTCAAGCAACTGGTTTCTGAGTTCCTTCTTAAAACCAAATTGCCTAATGTTTTCATTAACTGGCTGTGTGACCTTGAACCAGCCATTTCACTATCCCTGTTAAGTGAGATGAAGGTGATGAGTTCCATCAGAGATTCTAAATTGAGGGCAGGAGGGGCCTTAGTGTACTCTCCCTGTGACCAATTTCAAGCTATCAACATGGTGTCACTGAGTGCCAATTTGGGAGTGATTCACACAGCTGGCTCTTGCAGCCCCATATTGCATGGGCCCTAGACAGATGACAAGTGCTCTGAAGGAAAAGAAGCAGGTTACAGGGTGGGAGAGTGAGGGAGGCTGTGCTATCTTAGATTGGCTGGTCAGGCAGGTCTTTCTGAGAGGCAAGATTTGAACAGAGACCTGAATGAAGTAAGGAAGCCAGATATTTAGTGAATATTTAGGAAATGAGCATCCCAGGCAGAGGGAACAACACGTGCAAAGGCCCTGAGTCAGGACTGTGCTTGGCCCTTTGAGGAACGGCGAGACCAGTCTGCAGTGAACACAGGATTTAGGGGAGCACACAGAGGGGGAATTTGAATTCAACAGGTATGTGCAGCAGTAGTGAGGGCAAGAGTTGTTAGCTGGACAAAGGGATGATATTTGCAGGGTATCTTAAAACATGAGGACAGGTTTAACCAGAAGGGTTGGAGTGTGGGCAGAAATGGAAAGAGAAGAGAGCTCTGGAAAGAAAGAATGGTGTGAGCAAAGGTGCCAAAGGTTGGAACAGAGTAATATGGCGGGGGATTGGGAGCATATGGCCAGTCAAACCTGCACGGGTAAGTGAGAGCCACATCGTGAAGCTAGTGATAGTTTTTCACCTGGGATAGACATATAGGCAGGCATTTGTGGAGGATAAATTTGACAGGGAGACACAAAAGGCAAAGAGGCTACTCTGGAGGCTACTGGTACAGGATAGAAAGGATGGATGAGTGCTTGATTTAGGGAAGAGAGAAAAGGATGGACGTGGAACAATAACCTCATGTCTCTGTAATGATTTACACTAAGGGCTTTCATGCATGCCATTGCTACTCACCTTCACAACAGCCCTGCGAGGTACATGGGATATGTGGTGTGGTGGGTTCAAGATGGTGAAAAATCTTTGACACTCCTCCCTTCACTTCGCCTTGAATCTGGGCTGGGCCCATATCTCATTTATAGCTAATAGAATGTAGCAGAAGTGACACAAAGGGACTTCCAAGACTAGGTCACAGGTAACCATTTTGTTTCTGCCTTGGCGTCTTGGCATGCATGCTCTATGGGAAGCCAGCTGCCTTGTGAGAAGTCTGACTACTCTAAGAAGAAGTCCCAGCTAGAGATGACACATGGCAAGAGAGGTGTCCAACCAGCGTCCAGACTTGCAGCCTTCCCAGCCCAGGTAAGTAAAAAAGCCACCTTGGACATCAAGCCCAGTCAAGCCTTTGGATAAGTCCAGCCCCAGGGGCCTCTGACTGCAGCTGCGCTAGACCCCAAGCAAGAACCACCCAGCTGAGTCCAGTCAACACGAACCCTGAGAGGTAATAATTGTTGTAAGCCATTAAGGTTTAGGGTGGTTTGTGATGCCACAATAGATAATCAGAAGATACCTGATATTATCCCCATTTTAGATGGGGAACTGAGGCTCAGGGAGATCACGAGGGCTTGTCCAAAGTCATATGGCTAATAAATGCTAGAGCCAGAGCCAAAATCCAGATGTGCTGACATTTATAACTGTTGTTTGGACTCCTTTCTGCTCTGTCATTACCATCCTCTCCCATGCCCTGGGCCCAGAAAGGTTGGGGAGGGAGGGAGCCAGCCATCTGAGTCTTTTTGCCAGCCCAAAGGAGAGGTCTACTCATGCCATTTATAGCAGCCCAGTTCTCAGGGGGGTTAGAGAAGTGTGTCCCCTCCAGCATCCTGATGCCCAAAGGGTACTCCCTTCTGGCATGTCCTCATGTTCTTCCTCTCTCTATTCAAGTCCTTCTGTCAACCAGCTGTCCCCTTGGGAATGAAGAAACGCACATTTACTGAGCATCATCTGCCTAAGCATTTTTACATGATGTTAGCTCATATAATCCATATGGCATGAATACCAAGTAGATACTGCCACAATTGGTGGGAAACTGAGGCTCAGAGGGGAAGATCTTTGCCCAGACTCACACAGCAAGTGAGTTTCAGAGCCTGGATTCCAACCCAGATTTCTCTATTCTACCATCTGCATTCCTTCCACTGGAAGATGGGGCTAATGTTATGCAGACATGCCACCAGAGCATCTGATGTGACACAGGTTCTCAGTGTATGCCACATTCCCTTCCTTTTCCCTCCCTCTATTTCTGCTCCATCCCAGAGAAATTCAGAACCTGCCAAAAGGCAAGAGAAGTCCTTGAGTAGAAAAATAAGACTCAACAATTATTGAACTCTCTGTGATATAGGCTCAAGGATTATCTTATTCTCACAAATACACTGTGAATTTAGGTGCTGTTATTAGCTCCACTTTCCATCTGATGAAGTCAAGGCTTAGACAGATAAGAAACTTGCCCAAGATCCTACAGCTAGTAAGGGATGGATTCAAGATCGAAACCCTGGTGTTTTTGTCTCTGAAGTTCATGCTCTTAAACAGCAAAGCCTACCTCAGCCCCTGAACTGGGAGCTCCCATGCCAGCTGCATGCCTGGCAGCCTGCCTGATAGAGCAGGACTGGGCAGGCTGATTAATGAGGGGAACGACCTGGGGAAGGAATGAGGTCACATTCCAGGAGGCTGAGGCAAGGCTGTTCACGAATCACTTCAAAATACTCACTCTCTTGGAAAAATACTAGCAGGGTTGGATACTCATGCCAAATAAGAAAACTAGATATACAAAATGGATATTAGGACTGAGCATAGTATTCAACCTTCCAGGGCCATAGGCCTAAAGGGGACCAATTGCTCAGCCATGGGTCATAGCCTTCCAAGGACTCGTTCATGTCCTGCCCCCTTCCCATACCTATCCCTGGTCTCCAGAAGATCAGATGGCCTTCCCTCTGACTTCCACCCCTCTTTGTATGTGACTTAAGCACATAACATGTGCTTGAATTATTAATAAATTCATTGGCTTTAAAGATATTTTTTGGGCACCGACTTGATGTCAGGCACTGTGCTAGGAGTAGTGAATATGACATATTAGTTACCCCCTTGGCCCTTACAATCTAGTGAGGAAGGTAGACATTAAACTGGAGATGAACATTTTGATAGGATAGGGTGCTATAGGAACTAACATTCTTCCTTTCTTCTTTCCCTTCCCCATTCCTCCCTTCTTTCCCTTCCCCATTCCTCCCTTTTTCTATTATCTCCTTCCTTCCAGAAATACTTATTAAGAACCTACTATGTGCTAGTATCAGTCGAGGTGCTAGAGAAGAAAGCAGTGAACAACAGAGATGCTTGCCCCCTTGGAGCTTATATCCCAGTGATGACTGGGGAATTTGACTTGGGATAGGAACAACTTGTGAAGGAACTTGTGAGCCATGCCAGAGTTTGAACTTTATCTGGTTGGTAAAAGAGAACCTAAAATTGAATTTAGGCAAGGGAATAGTCTGAGCAGATTTGTGTTTCAGAAAAATCGCAGGAAAACTATATGGAGGATGAGTGGCAGGAGGTGAGACTGGAAGCAGCAAGATCAGATTGGAGGTTGCTGGGAGACCATGAGAGAGACAGGTTGGTGCTCTAGACCAAGTGGGCTATTGAGAAAGGAAGAGAGCCCCATAACTCACTCCCACAGGGTGAGTAGTGACAGTGGCACCTTGGACAGGATGGCAGAGTAGCACCTCTTCAAACTGATACTTAAAAAAATCATGGACACATCTATTTGGTGGGCATAGAGAGAAACAAATGACTTGTTATTAAAAATTGCATGCCCATTGCTTTACGTTAATTATGTGTACTGAAGATGACATTTCAAATCATTTGAATTATCTTTTTTTTTTTTTTTTTTTTTTTTTTTTTGAGACGGAGTCTCGCTCTGTCGCCCAGGCTGGAGTGCAGTGGCGGGATCTCGGCTCACTGCAAGCTCCGCCTCCCGGGTTCACGCCATTCTCCTGCCTCAGCCTCCCAAGTAGCTGGGACTACAGGCGCCCGCCACTACGCCCGGCTAATTTTTTGTATTTTTAGTAGAGACGGGGTTTCACCGTTTTAGCCGGGATGGTCTCGATCTCCTGACCTCGTGATCCGCCCGCCTCGGCCTCCCAAAGTGCTGGGATTACAGGCGTGAGCCACCGCGCCCGGCCATCATTTGAATTATCTTTCATTTCACAATTTCTCTGTCACTCATAGGAGGGTAGCAAACTGAGGCACCATGGGATGAGTCCATCTACCCCACTGGAGAGACCACATGGAGAGGGGGAGGGGTCCAGCTGAGCCCAGCCCAGTCTCCCGCTGTCCCCAGCGGGGTGCCAGGCATGTGAGTGATGACATCCAGGATCCTCAGACCAGACCAGATGCCACCTGAATACCACTGAGTAGCCCCAGTCAAAGCTCTATGAAGCCTAAGTGTCTCCAGGCTAAGCCCTGCCTGAATTTATGACCCATAAATGGTGAGATATAGTAAAATGTTAGTATGTTCAAGCCAGTTTTGTTGTTTGCTGCTCAGCAATTAATAAACAGAACAGCCCCATTTGTTGACAGTCAAGCAACATCGAAGTTGACAAGCCCCTGCACCACCTGGAAGCCTTGTCATGTGATCCCCACAGAGGCCACTGTGGCTGAGTCTCCAGTGTCCATTACATCCCAGCTGATTGCTCTAAGTAAACCTTGCTAACATCATTCTCCTTGACAGGTGGATATGGGGAGGCTTGAGACAATGTAAGCCCCTGTGTCATGAGGGGAGGCTCCTAAACACTCTAGTAAAAGATTTTTCATGGGTATCAGCTCTCTTTCTCTCCTTCACTGGATGTGAAAAAAGACATATATCCCAATTGCCATTAGCAGCCACCATCTTATTACAGGGGGAACTAGACTTGGGAAGAAGCCAGTGTTATTGAGGGCAGAGGGGAGAGATGGAAAGAACCTAAGACCACAATGGTATCAATGAATCACTGAATCAACCAACCCTGAAGCCCACCCTACAGTTGGACAGGTGCTATGTGAACCAATTCTTAAGTTTCCAGCTTAAGCTAATTTGTGCAGGATTTTTTGCTTGCTACTCAAGGCAACCTACTTAATTTAATGCTATGGTTCCTTTCTGTGGAATATGGATATTTAGTTGGTAAATTCAATTTCTTAATTTCTAGCTTATCCTGAACTCAACCTATTCTCACTTGCTGTAGTTAAAGCCCTAGAATGGAGAATGAGAGAGAAATATTCTTGAGCCAGCTATCATTTAAACCATAATTTTGACTTACTACACAAAATCCATGAAAGCAGTGCCTCTAAACAGTAAGAGTGCTACCAATGAATATTAATAGCAATAATTATAAGAAGGATAACAAATATCATGGAGGAGTCGCAATATGCCAAACATTGTTTTAAATACCATATGGATTACCTCATTTAATTCCCATAACACTTCCATGTGGTTAGAGATATTTTAATCTCCATTTTACAGAGCAGAATCTGAGACAGGAAAAAATTAAGTTAATTTTTTTCTAGGTCACACAGCAGCAAGTGGTGGAATTGGAATTTAAACTGAGAAAGTCTGACTCCCGAGCTCTGTCTCTTAACAACTATTATAAACCAAGGTAGTAGTAACAAGGAAAGTAGTAGCACCAATAAAATAAATAAGAAGTATTATAGATTTGTTAGTAAGAAAGGACGACTCGACCAGGCGCGGTGGCTTATGCCTGTAATCCTAGCACTTTGGGAGGCTCAGGTGGGTGGATCACAAGGTCAGGAGATCGAGACCATCCTGGCCAACATGGTAAAACCCCGTCTCTACTAAAAAAAAAATACAAAAATTAGCTGGATGTGGTGGTGCGTGCCTGTAATCCCAGCTACTCAGGAGGCTGAGGCAGGAGAATCTCTTGAACCAGGGAGTTGGAGGTTGCAGTGAGCTGAGATCGCGCCACAGCACTCCAGTCTGGTGACGGAGCAAGACGCCGTCTCAAAAAAAAAAAAAAAAAAGAAAAGAAAGGACGACTCATGGGCGATGTGGAGGATTTGGGAGTGAATGAATCAATTATGAGGTACAAGTGGACCCTCAATATTTTACACATGCCCATGAACACTACTTATTGATGTTTTATAAATAGCTACATTATTACATATTCATATACACATATATATACTATGGATTTATTGTGTGTGTGTGTGTTTTTTTAGACAGAGTCTTGCTCTATCACCCAGGCTGGAGTGAGTGTAGTGGTGCAATCTCAGCTCACTGCAACCTCTGCCTCCCAGCTTCAAGTGATTCTCGTGTTTCAGCCTCTGGAGTAGCGGGATTACAGGTGCACGCTACCATGCCCCGCTAATTTTTAGTAGAGACGGGGTTTCACCATGTTGGCCAGGCTGGTCTTGAACTCCCGACCTCAAGTGATCCAGCCACCTCAGCATCCCAAAGTACTGTGACTACAGGCATGAGCCACTGTGCTCAGATGATTTACTGTTAATGTTTCTTTTTTATGTGACCTTTCAAACTTTAGTTTTATTAATCATGGTAACGTATTTTGGGAGAAAGCTGTGACCCTAGACAACAGGTGTCAAAACCAAGCCCCATAGCAGTGGTTTTCCCTTGATCAGCCCCAGTTGCTCCCTCTGGCTTCACTTCCTCCTGGCTGCCTCTGAACTCACCGTGCTAACACTTCCAACTGTAGTCAGGTCACTGGGGCAAAATGCAGAGGAACTGGATATCGCAAAATGCAGAGGAGCTGGGTATCCCAAAATGAGTTCTGCATCTGTTTGAGATAAGACCTTCATTCCTCCAATGTCACTGGTATGTCTGCTTAGAGGAAAGGAGCTCCTGACTGGCTGATTTTACCACCAATTTTGCCAGAGCCTAGGCATTGCTGAGTCACACATGTACCTGCTCTTCAGGCTCTTTCTTCTGAAAAGTAAAACTCTTCAGTATCGTGGCTAGGCTTCCATACAGACCCAGCCTTCACAAACAAACAAGCTGTCAGGTCAAATCCTTGGAGAAGTGAGTCTGTATTCAAACCAGAGCCCTCCAAGGGCTGCATGGGAAATGTTCCCTCTCTGGGATTCAGTCTGTTCTGAGGACTGGGCAGCGGGCAACCTCTGAACAAAGACAATTCCTGTATTTTGAGGCTCTTGAGCATCGCGTTGATCTTACGAAGTGGCCAGGCACGCGCCAGCCTCCTCAGAGGCAAATACTCCAGGGAACAACGTTGCTTATTGACAACAGACGCCTGTGAGTGGGAAGCATCATTCCCTTCCGAGAATTTGATTCCATTCAAGGCTGCTGAAGAAAATTTGTTTTTTAAAACATGACAGATTTTTTCCAGATGATATCCAGGTTTGCTAGCAATTTAAGAGACCTGCTATATTTTATACTGAGTGTATCCACTCCCTGCAAAAAACAGATCACAGAGATTGCAACCCTCCCCATGTTGAAAGAACTTTTCTCCAACTGATGTCATTATCGCCTTATTTCAAGCTGTTCCCACAGAATTCACCCTGATCTTCTCCTTTGTGCCTTCATTTATTTATACATTCAACACATGCTTTCATTTCACATGAAGAGATTGTCACATTCCAGGCACTGGGCAAGCTATTGAGAATACTGGGGTGTACAAGATAGATACACTTCCTGCCATGATGGAGTTTAGCAGGGAGGGCTGACCAGTTCTTAGAGGGTGGTGAGTATAATCACAGGGCAATATGGTGGGTATTCTCAGCAGGTACTGGGGATGAGGTGGGGCATCTAGACAGGCTGTGAGGCAGGGAACATCTTCTTAAGCAAGTGGAGTGTAACCCAAGACCTAAGGATGAGTAGTACTGGGCCAGGGGAAGAGGTAGAACAGAGTGTTCCAGGCTATGCAGATGTCGTCCACTGGCACTCAATATCTACTCCAACCTTCTTCTACCGTGTTAGTCTGGAAAGCTAAAAGCCACATTTTCTGGGTTTCTTTGTAGTACGTGTTCTGAATGTGAATTAGCTCCATCAGTCAGTGCATTCCTGCGGGATTTGGAAGATGGGGGTGCTGCAGTGGCCTCACCTCCCTGCTTCTGTGGCTTCTGCTGGTTGGTAAGCTCCTCATGGACGGAAGTCTGGCCGCCACAAGGCACTTCTTGATTTTGGTGGCTTCCTGGGTATTTCAGTTTCTAGGTTGTGGCTGTTTGCTGGTTTTGGTGGGTTTTTGATCCTGGCAGAGAGCTGCTGCAGGGGCAGCTTCCCAATTTGGCTGCCAGCTCCCTGATGGCAGAAGAGACAAAAGCACCCGAGGTGGCCAGATCTGCCTGCAGCTCTTGGGGTTGTCTTAGAGTCTCATTTTCCCGGCTTGCCATTGCTTCTGGAACCATGTAATATCCTGCAATAAATAAATCCCTTACTACTTAATCTAACTAGAATCGCTTCTCATTCCTATAACTGATCCCTAAACAACTTACAGACCATAGGAACCACATATGTGAATGTCCACTAGGAAGAAAGCTGGTAGCATTCCAAGGATGCCCCCATGCGTCTGGGACAGAGCCATTTAAGGGAAGAAGGACTGGAGGGACAAGAAAGTGCTAAATCATGGAGTGTCTTATTAAGCAGGCTAAAAATCTCTATTGAAAGGGCAACTGAAGGTTTTCAAGCTGTTTGACCCCAGAACCAGATTTGTACTTTTCAAACACACTGCCCACTAAGTGGAGAAGAGATGGAAGGCAGAGACTGAACACAAGAACACCAGTTGGAATCTATTGTGTTAGTCCTGGATTCAGAATATGCCTCATGTATCAATACTCAATTCCATGTTGAAAACAGGTAGTTAAGAGATTCTCAAGTTTATTTGTGTAAAAAATTAGATCTTTCTTACTTCATCTTCTATCTTATTCCAAATAGAGTGTGACCACCATTCTTTTCTTTCTTTTTTTTAAGATGGAGTTTCGCTCTTGTTGCCCAGGCTGGAGTGCAATGGCGCAATCTTGGCTCACTGCAACCTCTGCCTCCTAGGTTTGAGTGATTCTCCTGCCTCAGCCTCCCAAGTAGCTGGGATTACAGGTGCCTGCCACCATACCTGGCTAATTCTTTTTTCTTTTTCTGTATTTTTAGGAGAGACAAGGTTTCGCCATGTTGGCCAGGCTGGTCTTGAACTCCTGACCTCAGATGATCTACCTGCCTTGGCCTCCCAAAGTGCTGGGATTACAGGCGTAGGCCACGTGCCCAGCCGAGAGTGACCACCATTCTAACCATCAGTGTGCAATATTTCTTGGCAACCTTGTTGTGTCCTTCAACCCAAGGTCACAGCCACCATAAGGAGGCCCTCTCCATGGCTTTTGTTCTCTCTTTTCCTTCCTTCCCTCTCTCTCTCACTATGTATCCTCTGTTACAGTAACTATTCCTCCCCTGTTCCTTTTTCCCTAAAATGGCAATGTCTCGTGAGTTGTAATTAGCTCTGGGATCCTGTGCTATCTCTTTTTGCCTTGTGGTTTCCCTATATCCCACCCAAATCTTTCTAAGTAGTCCTTTTACTAAGCCCTTCTCAAATTACCTAATTTGAATGTGCCATCTGTTTCTTGCTGGGACCTTGATGGATACACTGGGTCATTTGTCATGTAGAATTCTCCTACATTTTGGGTTTGGCTAATTGTCTCTTTGTCATATCATTCAATACATTTCTTTATCCTCTAGATTTCCTGTCAACTGGTAGGTAGACCTAGAGACTTGAAGAGATCCAGATTCAAGGTGTTTTTGGCAGGTGGGGTGGGAACAACAATATTTCATAGGCGGCTTCTTTATACCTCTATAGCATCTCATTAGAACCCACATAAAATCTGATTGTCTAATTTTTTTTTTTTTCTGGCAGAAAGCTTGTTGTCAGCTTTCTTTTTTAATTTTTTTTTTTTTATTTTATTTTTATTTCAATAGTTTTTGGGGAACAGGTGGTTTTTTGTTACATGGATAAGTGCTTTAGTGGTAATTTCTGAGATTTTGGTGCACCTATCATCCAAGCAGTGTACACTGTACCCAATGTGTAGTCTTATCCCTCATGCTCCTCCTCCCGAGTCCCCAAAGTCCCCATCATTCCTATGCCTTTGTGTCCTCATAGCTTAGCTCCCACTTATAAGTGAGAACATATGATATTTGGTTTTCCATTCCTGTTTTACTTCACTTAGAATAATGGTCTCCAATTCCATCCAGGTTGCTGCAAATGCCATTATTTCATTCCTTTTTATGGCTGCATAATATTCCACAGTGTATATATATACCACATTTTCTTTGTCCACCCATTGGTTGATGGGCATTTAGGCTGGTTCCATGTATTTACAATTGCAAATTGTGCTGCTACAAACGTGTGTGCAAGTGTCTTTTTCATATAATGACTTCTTTTCCTCTGAGTAGATACCCAGTAGTGAGATTACTGGATCCAATGGTAGTTCTACTTTTAGTTCTTTAAGGAATCTCCACACGGTTTTCCATAGCAGTAATACTAGTTTACATTCCCACCAGCATTGTAAAAGTGTTCCCTTTTCACCACATTCATGCCAACATCTATTATTTTTTGATTTTTTAATTATGGCCATTCTTGCAGGAGTAAGGTGATATCTCATTGTGGTTTTAATTTTCATTTCCCTGATAATTAAAGATGTTGATCATTTTTTCCTGTTTGTTGGCCATTTGTATATTTTCTTTTGAGAATTGTCTATTCATGTCATTTGTCCACTTTTTGATGGGGTTATTTGTTTTTGTTTTTCTTTCTTGCTGATTTGTTTGAGTTCCCTGTAGATTCTGGATATTAGTCCTTTGTTGGATGTATAGTTTGCAAATATTTTCCCCCATTCAGTGGGTTGTCTGTTTGCTGATTATTTCTTTTGCTGTGCAGAAGCTTTTTAGTTTAATTAGATCCTATCTATTTATTTTTGTTTTTGTTTCATTTGCTTTTGCATTCTTGGTCATGATCTCTTTGCCAAGCCAACATCCGGAAGAGTTTTACCAATGCCATCTTCATCATTTTTATGGTTTCAGGTCTTAGATTTAAGTCTTCAATCCATCTTGAGCTGATTTTTGTATAAGGTGAGAAATGAGGATCCAGTTTTATTATTCTGCATGTGGCTTGCCAATTATCCCAGCACCATTTGTTGAATAGGGTGCCCTTTCCCCATTTTATGTTTCTGTTTGCTTTGTCAAAGATCAGTTGGCTGTAAGCATTTGGCTTTATTTCTGCATTCTGTATTCTGTTCCAATGGTCTATGTACCTATTTTTATACCAGTACCATACTGTTTTGGTAACCACAGCCTTGTAGTATAGCTTGAAGTCCAGCAATGTGATGCCTCCAGATTTTTTCCTTTTGCTCAGTCTTGCTTTGGCTATGTCGGGTCTTTCTTTTGGTTCCATATGAAATTTCAGATTGTTTTTCCTGGCTCTGTGAAGAATGATGATGGTACTTTGATGGGAATTGTATTGAATCTGTAGATTGCTTTTGTCAGTATGGTCATTTTCACAATATTGATTCTTCCCATCCATGAGCATGGGACGTGTTTCCATTTACTTGTGTCATTGATGATTTCTTTCAGCAGCGTTTTGTAGATTTCCTTGTAGAGATCTTTCACCTACTTGGTTAGGTATATTCCTAAGTGTTTTATTTTATTTTTTGCAGCTGTTGTAAAAGGGAATTAGTTCTTTATTTGTTCCTGAGCTTGGTTGTTGTTGGTGTATAGCAGTGCTACTGATTTGTGTACATTGATTTTGTATCCTGAAACTTTACTAAATTCATATATCAGATCTAGGAGCATTTTGGACGAGTTTTTAGGGTTTTCCAGGTATACATCATATCATCGGTGAACAGCGACAGTTTGACTTCCTCTTTACCAATCTGGATGCCCTTTATTTCTTTCTCTTGTCTGATTGCTCTGGCTAGGACTTTCAGTACTATGCTGAATAGAAGTGGTAAAAGTGGGCAATCTTGTCTTGTTCCAGTTTTCAGTTTCAGTTTTCCATTTGTCCCCATTCAGTATAATGTTGGCTGTGGGTTTTTCACAGATGGCTTTTATTATTTTGAGATAAGTCCCTTCTATGCCAGTTTTGCTGAGGGCTTTAATCATAAAGGGATGCTAGCTTTTGTCAAATGCTTTTTCAGCATCTATTGAAATGATCATATGGTATTTGTTTTTAGTTCTGTTTATGTGATATATCACATTTATTGACTTGCATGTGTTAAACTATCCCTGCATCCCTGGTATGAAACCCACTTGATCATGGTGTATTTTTTTTTTTTTTTGACATGCTGCTAGATTCAGTTAGTTAGTACTTTGTTAAGGATTTTTGCATCTATGTTTATCAGGGATATTGGTCTGTAGTTTTCTTTTTTTGTTATGTCCTTTCCTGATTTTGGAATTATGGTGATACTGGCTTCATCAAATGATTTAGGGAGGATTTCCTCTTTATCTTTTGGAATAGTAAGATTGGTATCAATTCTTTGAATGTCTGATGGAATTCAGCTGTGAATCCATCTGATCCTAGACTTTTTTTGTTGGCAATTTTTAAATTACTGTTTCAACCTTGCTACTTGTTATTGGTCTGTTCAGAGTTTCTGTTTCTCCTGATTTAATCTGGGAGCATTGTATATTTCCAGGAATTTATCCATCTCCTCTACATTTTCTAGTTTGTGTATGTAAAGGTGTTCATAGTAGCCTGGAATGACCTAGTACTTCTGTGGTATTAGTTGTAATATCTCCTGTTTCCTTTCTAATTGAGCTTACTTGGATCTTCTCTCTTCTTTTCTTGGTTAATCTCACTAGGTCTATCAATTTTGTTTATTTTTTTAAAGAACCAGCTTTTTGTTTCATTTATCCTTTGTATTTCTGTTTGCTTGTTTGCTTCAATTTCATTTAGTTTTGCTCTGATCTTTATTTTTTTCTTCTGCTGGGCTTGGGTTTGGTTTGGTCTTGTTTCTCTAATTCCTTGAGGTATGACCTTAGATTGTCGATTTGTGCTCTTTCAGACTTTTTGATGTAGGCATTTAATGCTATGGACTTTCCTCTTAGCACTGCTTTTGCTATATCCCAGAGGTTTTGATAAGTTGTGTCACTATTATCGTTCAGCTTAAATAATGGTTATTTTTTATTTATTTTTATTTATTTATTTATTTTTTTGAGACAGTCTTGCTCTGTCGCCCAGGCTGGAGTGCAGTGGCACAATCTTAGCTCACTGCAAGCTCCGCTTCCCAGGTTCACGCCATTCTCCTGCCTCAGCCTCCAGAGTAGCTGGGACTACAGGCGCCCACCTCCACACCCGGCTAATTTTTTGTATTTTTTAGCAGAGACAGAGTTTCACTGTGTTAGCCAGGATGGTCTCGATCTCCTGACCTCATGATCTGCCCACCTCGGCCTCCATATTTGTTTAATTTTTATCTTGATTTTATTGTTTATCCAAAGATCATTCAAGAGCAGATTATTTAATTTCCATGTATTTGTATAGTTTTGAGGATTCCTTTTGGAGTTAATTTCTGGTTTTATTCCACTGTGGTCTGAGAGGATACTTGATATAATTTTGATTTTCTTAAATTTATTAAGACTTGTTTTGTGGCCTATCATATGGTCTATCTGTGAGAATGTTACAGTGCTGAAGAAAAGAATGTATATTCTGCAGTTGTTGGGTAGAATGTTCTATAAATATCTTTTAAGTCCATTTATTCTAGAGTACAGTTTAAACCCATTGTTTCTTTATTGACCTTCTGTCTTGATGACCTATCTAGTGCTGCCAGTGGAGTATTGAATTCCCCCACTATTACTGTGTTGCTGTCTATCTCATTTCTTAGGTCTAGCAGTAATTGTTTTATAAATTTGGGAGCTCCAGTATTAGGTGCATATATATTTATGATTGTGACATTTTCCTCTTGGACTAGTTCTTTTATCATTACATAATGTCACTCTTTATCTATTTTTACTGTTGTTGCTTTAAAGTCTGTTTTGTCTGATATAAGAATAGGTACTCCTGCCCACTTTTGGTTTCCATTTGTGTGGAATATCTTTTTCCAACCCTTTACCTTAAGTTTGAGTCCTTATGTGTTAGGTGAGTCTCTTGAAGACAGTGGATACTTGGTTGGTGGATTTTTACCAATTCTGCCATCCTCTCTCTCTTAAGTGGAGCATTTAGGTCATTTATATTCAACGTTAGTATTGAGATGTGAGGTACTTTTCTATTCATCATGTTCGTTGTTGCCTTGATACCTTGTTTTTTTCCCCTTTTTGTTATTGTTTTATAGGCCCTGTGAGACTTACACTTTAAGGGAGTTCTATTTTGGTGTATTTCAAGGTTTTGTTTCAAGATTTAGGACTCCTTTAAGCATTTCTTGTAGTGCTGGCTTAGTAATGGTGAATTCTCTCAGCATTTGTTTGTCTGAAAAAGACTATCTCTCCTTCATTTATGAAGCTTACTTTTGCTGAATACAAAAATCTTGGTTGACAATTATTTTGTTTCAGGAGGCTAAAGATGGGACCCCAGTTGCTTCTGACTTGTAAGGTTTCTGCTGAGAAGTCTGCTATTAATCTGATAGGTTTTCCTTTCTAGATTATCTGATGCTTTTGTCTCACAGCCCTTAAGATTCTTCCCTTCACCTTGACTTTAGATAACCTGATGATTATGTGCCTGGGTGATAATCTTTTTGTGATGAATTTCCCAGGTGTTCTTTGAGCTTCTTGTATTTGAATGTCTAGATCTCTAGCAAGGCCAGGAAAGTTTTCCTTAATTTTTCCTTCAAATAAGTTTTACAAACTTTTAGATTTCTCTTCTTCATCAGGAACAGCAATTATTCTTTGGTTTGGCTGCTTAACATAATCCCAAATTTCTTGAAGGCTTTGTTGATTTTTTTAATTCTTTTTTCTTTGTCTTTGTTTGATTGGGTTAATTTGAAAGCCTTGTCTTTGAACTCTGAAGTTCTTTTTTCTACTTGTTCTAGTCTATTGTTGAAACTTTCCAGTGCATTCTGTATTTCTCTAAGTGTGTCTTTCATTTCCAGAAGTTTGTAATTGTTTTTTTCTTTATGATATCTGTTTCTCTGGAGAATTTTTCATCCACATCCTGTATTTTTAAAAATTTCTTTAAGTTGGTTTTCACCTTTCTCTGGTATCTCCTTGAGTAGCTCAATAATCAATCTTCTGAATTCTGTATCTGGCAATTCAGAGATTTCTTCTTGGTTTGGATCCATTGCTAGGGAGCTGGTGTGACCTTTTGGGGGTGTTATAGAAACCTGTTTTGTCATATAATCAGAATTACTTTTCTGATTCCTTCTCATTTGGGGAGACTATTTCAGTGGAGAGGTCTGAAACTCAAGGTCTGCTGTTCAGATTCTCTTCTCCCATGGGATGATCCCTTGATATGGTGCTCTCTTCCTCCCCCAAGGGATGGAGCTTTCTGAGAGCTGGACTGCAGTGATTGTTATTGCTCTTCTGCGTCTGTTATTGCTCTTCTGGGTCTAGCCACCACATGGATCTAGGGATTGTTTTTGCTCTTCTGGGTCTGGCCACCATGTGGGGCTATGAGGCTCTGAGCTGGTGGTCTGAAAAAAGTCCTGTGATGTGATCTGACTTCAGGTCTACAGCCATGGATACCAGCACCTGTTCAGTGGAGGTGGCAGGGGAGTGAAATAAGACTCTGTGAGAATCCTTGGTTGTAGATATGTTTAGTGCACTTGCTGAAGTGGCATTGTTGTCTGGGGTAAATACACAAGGTTTGTTGCCTCATGCCAAGGAAATCAAGGACATGAACACATGTGGAGTGAGGTTAAGAGCATAGGTTTAATAGGCAAAAAAAAGCGAAAGGAAAACAGCTCTCTCTCCTATGAGACAGAGGGGTGCCTGAGTGGGACTTCAGGCCTGCATCAGTGCACCGGATTTTATAGACAGGCTTGAGGAGGCAGTGTCTGATTTACACAGGGGCCAAAGATTGGTTGGACCAGGTGCGCACATTTATTTACATAGCGCATGGGGAAGCTGGCCCCCACCCTAATCTTATTATGCTAATGGGGTCTTTACTTTATTATGCAAATGGCGCCACGTTGTCTGTTCCTTGCTGTAGACATGGTTGATAAGGAAAGGGGAAGATGGAGCCACCATGTTGGACATGCCTAGCCCTCAGGTAGCCTTTTCCTAATGGCACAGCTGCCAGCATTCACTCATGCAAGCTTCCAGCTTGCTTGTCTATGTCTGCAGCTCCATTTTACAGGCTGCTCTTTGTTAGAAAAGAAGATTATTTTGGATCTGCTTTTCATTAAAAGGAAAACCTTACCAAAGACTCTCTTACCCTCGCTTTCTGCCTAAATAATTTCTTCTTAACTCCTATATCGTCGCTTTCTTGAATTCTGGTTCTATTAGCAGTGAAGTTGTCACATGGACACATTCAAAACCTCTGGTTACCCAAGATGTTGCAGGCAGTGGAATTAGGTGTTGTCTTCTCCTTTCTGGGATCAGGGTTATTCTGTCATGAGTTGCTGTAATAACCTGAGTTGGTTGGCCTCCAGCCAATAGGTGGCACTTCCAAGAGAACACCAGCTATGATAGTGGTAGGGAGCTCTAAACTTGCCCTAAGATGGCCAGGGTAAGTATTTTGGTTTCTCAGGTAATGGGTGGGGCCATAAAGCTCCAAAGAATGATTATGTTTTGTGTTCAGCTACCAAGGTGAATAGGGAAATACCATCAGGTGGGGACAGGGTTAGACAGGTCTGCACTCAGATTCTCCTTGGGTAGGGCTTGCTACTACCCAAGGCCACTGTGGTGGGTGGGTGGTGGTTCTCAGGCCAATGGGACTACGTTCCAGAGGGGATTATGGCTGCCTCTGCTGTGTCCAGGGAAGTGGTGGATAGCTGGTAGTGAGAGGCTTCATCCAGCTCCCATGCACTTGGAGAGATTGGTCTTCCACTACAGTGCCCTGCTCAGACCTTGCCCCAGGCCATGAGCTACCCAGCTGAGAATCAGCACAGCTTCCAGACCTCATCCCTCCCCATCTGCTCACTCCATTGGTGGTAGGTCCTGTGCTCACTCATACCAGCAGCACCTGATCATCCCCCAGACTCCACTCAAGAAATTTGTGCCCAGTCCACTACCAATTTCAGTTGGGACCTTTCTTCATCCCACAACACCTTCCCAATTCCACTGACTGCCTTTCCCAAGGGCCCCAGTGAGATATAGTCAGGGATGGCTTCCCTGGGCTCAAGCTGGATACTGGGAATATGTGCAAGGTACTTCCCACTGCCACTTCCACTTTTATATTTCATGCAACCCCCTAAATCTGTTTCATCTCTAGGTAAAGTTAAATCCTTCTCATGTGATCTGGATTTTCAGATTCCCCAGTGGGGATATGTGTTTGGAGGTAGGTTTGCCTCCTCTCACACTTTGGGAACTCACAGTTTTTTTTTGCCTGTTTCATGGAATTTGCAGCAGTGTGCAACTTCTTTCAAAAAATCTGTGAATTCCTTTGGTTTTCCCGGTACGTTCCTGTGGTAGTTCTTGGAGCAAAAGATCATGGTGTGAGTCTGCACACACTGTTCTGTCCATCCATGTGGGAGCTGCACATTAGCCCTGTCTCCTATTCATCATCTTCCCCCGTTCTTGTCCTGATTATCCAATTTTGAGTGCTGTTGAGGTTGATCTGTGGGTTCAGGTGTTTCAGCTGTAATGATGGTATTATAAAGTTACTCATCAATTTTCACCTAATGATTTTTTTGCAGTCACTGATGATTGCTGACTACATCCACTATTTCATTAAAGATTTGCAAAATAGTGATTTTCTAATTCTACCCTTCATTCTGCACCTATTAGCTGGGTTTTTCAATAAAGAAGAACTTTCCCTCATCAACCAAAAAGCTTCTTGCAAGGTTTTCTTTTTGGTTTACTGTGGGTTCATTAAGATGTGACAGATACGACTAGATGCAGGGACTTCAGAATGCTTTCCACCGTTGCTCCCTCACATATATACTCTTGTCATCATGTACTTTTATTCTACATATTATTATTGTTGTTTTCATTTCAATGTTTCACTCCAATGTTCATTTATACAATCAGTGAAAAATATTCCCCATAAATTAATATTTCTTTCTTTTCTTTCTTTCTTTCCTCTTCTTTTTTTTTTTTTTTTTGACAGGGTCTCACTCTGCCATCCAGGCTGGAGTGCAGTGGCATACTCATGACTCAATGCAGCCTTGATCTCCTGGGTTCAAGCGATCTTCCCACTTCTCACCTCAACCTCCACAAGTAGCTTGGACCAGAGGTGCATTCTACCATGTTTGGCTAATTTTTTTTTATTTTTTGCAGAAATAGTGTCTCCCTGTATTGCCCATGCCCTGTATTACCTCAAACTCTTGGGCTCAAGTGATACTCCCACCTAGGCCTCCCAAAGTGCTGGGATTGCAGGCATGAGTCACTGTGCCTGGCCAAATTAATCTTTTTCTTTTCTGCATTCTTTTCTGTGTCTCTTCATTCTTTTCTGCATCTCTGACTTCCAATCTGGAATCTGGTTTCCAGCCCTAAATTTCCTGGCTTCAGCACTGGCAAATTCTATTTTCCCAGGGAGGGGAAAAAAAGTACCTGACCAGGCCCAAAGACTTCATTTATTTTCTTCATTATTTTATTTACCTCTATAGGGGCTTTTTCCAAGTCACCCTCAATGGGATTTCCTTTACTCTATCTTCTGTAACAGCCAGAGCACATCAAATACATAGAAGCTGGCATTCTAGGCCATAGTAATTGTTCAGTAGGTACTTTATCTTGTTTACTTTGTTGGATAGCCTTTCTTAACAAACTTTCTCTGATATCTCAGTCTCAGATACAAGTCTCCCTGCCTTTAACCATTGTATCAGTTAGGACTTGCATTAACTGCAAACAAGTAAAAACTCAACCACATTTTACAGTTAGGCATTACACATATGCACACATGTATGTGTACACACACACACACACACAGAGAGAGAGAGAGCGAGAGAGAGAGAACTCTAGAACTTCTAGTCCCATGGCTTAAAAGTGTCAGGACCACTGACTCCACATTTTTCCAGGCACCTTCCTAATGCCTGTGAGTCAGCTAGTATTGCTTCAGCCATGACATCTATATTCCAGACAAAAAGTAGAAGGAAGAAGAAGAAAGGAAATGTCTCTACCTGTATCAGGTATATCAACCAGACTGAGAAATCCCCACTAGTCCGTTGCTTACACCTCATTGGTCACAACTCAGTCAAATGGCTACCTCAATCTGAATGAGAGGCTAGAAAATGTGTATATATGTGTTAGTTGTGCACTTCGCTATCCTAAACAAAACTGCAGTTCTGGCAAGGAAACATTGACTTTGGGTTGACAATCAACAGTTTGCCCTCTCCCTACTCTTCCCTTGGCATAGGATGCCCTTCCCTCCTCCCCACCTACTGAAATCTTATTAGAATATCACCTCTTCCAGGAAGTCTTTTCAGGTTATCTCAGTAGGAATTTTCTTTTAATTCTTCAGTTTAATAAGCAATATCTTGTTTGCCTAGTAACTGCAAGGCGCTACTAAGATACTATAGATGGAGATAAGTAAAATAGCGTTACTGTCCTGATAGAGCTCAGTTTACTTTTAGTATCTAAAAATCAGACTCCAATTATTATTTAATGATTACAGAGTTTCTATTTGAGGTGATGAAAAGGTTTTGGAAGCAGATCATGAGGATGGTAGCACAACAGTGTGAATGTACAACTGACCCTTAAGCAACATGGGTTTGAATTGCATGGGTCTATTTACAGAAAGATTTTTTCCAACCAAATGCAGATTGAAAACACAGTATTTGCAGAATGTGAACCCAAGTGTAAAGAGGGCTAACTTTTCATGTATATAGGTTCCACAGGGCTTGACTACAGGACTTGAGTATACAGGATTTGGATATATGTTGGGGGCAGAGGAGTTCTAGAATTAATCCCACTTGTATACTGAGGGGTGTCTATAATTAACACCACTGAATTGTACACTTCAAAATGATTACAATAGCAAATTCTGTGTTATATATATTTTATCACAGACAGGCAAATCGGACTCCAAATCCAAAAATGCCAGCATGGTGTGAAAATACAGACAGAAAGGAGGTATGGGTGTTGGGGTGCATAGAAAAGTCATTTAAATTACCTAGGCATTGGATCCTGTTCTGATGCTGTCTATTAGTTCATCTTCACACTGCCATAAAGACATATTCAAGACTGGGTAATTTATGAAGAAAAGAGGTTTTATTGACTCACAGTTCTGCATGGCTGGGGAGGCCTCAGGAAACTTACAATCATGGTGGAAGGGAAAGAGGCATGTCCTACATGGAAGCAGATGAGAGAGAGTGAGCAAGAGCAGGGAAAACTGCCCTATAAAACCATCAGATCTCTTGAGAACTCACTCATTATCATGAGAACAGCATGGGGGGAAGTGCCCCCATGATTCAATCACCTCCCACCTTGTCCCTCCCTTGACACATGGGGATTGTGGGGATTACAATTCAAGATGAGATTTGGGTGGGGACACAGAGCCAAACCACATCACACTGCTAGTTCTGTCTACTGAGAAGCAGATGCGGAGATGCAGTTAGGACAAACAGGCATATTTGGGTAAACTTGTGAAAGGAATTTCTTCTACTTTCACAAGAAACTTCTTTTCTTAGAAGCAGGACTGGTCAGAGGAAGCCATTAAACCGTGAAGTAGATCAAGTAGAAAAAGCCTCTCTGCCTAAAGGGGAGCTCTAGAGGAAAGAGCCCATTACAGGAATCCTGCTTTGGGTGGAAGTGCCTAAACCTTGCTCAGTCATTGGCTGGGGCTGCACTGGGAAGAACTGAAGGAGACCAGAAAGAACAAGTGGAAGCTGTCAGCCCACCACCTTCTCACAGCTAGGCAAGGCATCCTTTCTTGCAAGGGAATAAGTACAGCCCACCTCTGTCTGCCACAGCTGCTACTAGCTATGTGATCTTGTGGCATTTGAGCTTTCTGTGCCTCAGTTTTTTCATTTGCAAAATAAATATAATAATAAAAATAGCAACCCAATCTGGTTATTGGAACAACTATATGAGCTAATGAATGAATAGTGCTTAGAATAGTGTCTGTTTAATTATAGGTGCTCATTAAATGTGGGCTATCATTATCAATATTGCCAAGCAGAATGTACATTATGAAATAAACACAAAACTAAATTACATATATATGATACAGTAAATATAAATCAAAGTTCTGATATCTTCTGGACCTTGATTGGTTTTGTTCTATTTTTAGACTTCTGGTTTGGGCAAGAAATGACAGTGACTGCAGGTAAGATGGTGGCAGTAGATCTAGTAAGATGTGAACAGATTCAAAATGCAATTTAAAGTTTTAGAATATGCAGTGAAGTGGTCAAGGGGAGTGAAGTAGAATCAAGCCTGACTCTCAGGCTTTTGGCTTGATCAGCTGTGTGGATGCTGCTGTCAATAAGGTGAGAAAGACTGGAGGACAAAGGGCAGATGGGGGCCAGTCAAGACTTTCATTTGAACCCATGAAGCCTGAGTTATCTGTGAGGTAGTGGAAGCCAACAAGGCAGGTGGCCATGAGAACTAAGAGATGCAATCTGAGCTGGAAATAGAAGTTTGGGAGTAATTACCATAAGGATGGTATTTAAGTCCACAGGAATGGACAAGATAACTGCGAGAGTGAAGAAAACCAGTCTCTACCTGCTTCCTCACCCTCCAAATCCAATCAAGCTTTGGCTCTACCTCACTGTATTTTGGCTCCACCCCTCTTTTTTATCCTCTGTTTTGCTGCACCTGTTCAGTCAATACTGCTCATGACACTGTCCTTATAAACCATATAAAATTAATCAGGGAGGAAGGGAGGAGGAGAAGCAAAAATAAGCCAATCTTGCAGCACATTTAGTGTTAATCACTAGGCCAGTTTGCTCTCTGACCTGCTTCCTCATAGTTGTTTAGTGCCTATTGCCTCAGAATCACGTAGACCCTGTTACAGGTTATAGTTCCCCCTAACTGCTCTATACATAACAACTTGAACATTATACAATGTTACGTTTTCTATATGAGATCATCTTTTAAGTCCTGCATGCCAGTGAAACTATGGACACCAGCTGGTCTGAAGGACTCCACAAGAAGCTGACTCACAATGCAATTTCCACATCCTTATGATTTTATACCCCTTACTCCAACCACTTAATGACCCCAATTTTCCAGTCTCCCACCCTCCATGATCCCCTTGTGGATCCAGAAGTCCTTGTGGAGATGTATTTGAGAGTCTCCTTCCATCTCCTTGCTCAGCTTCCTGAGATCATTAAACTCTTTCTCTGCTGCAAACTTTGCTGTCACAGTGTATTGGACTATTACTGTGCCATGGGACTACAAACCTGTTGGTCCGGTAAAAAATTTTGGTGAGTCAAGCCTAGAGCCCCTTGTGGGCATTTGTCCATGGCTCAGTGCCCCTGCACAATTGGGACAGGCCCAGAGACAAGCCCACGTAGCCACTAGGTTCTATTGTACTAGGAGCTGTTGACAGGGCAGTGCCAACCTTCAGCACATAAGTTGCTTGCACCAAAGGAACAGTTTCCAGATTTGAAAGACATCTTTAGTGAGTTTTCTCTGTGCAACTGGCACATTTAATTGGCTGAAACTCTTTTGGCTCTAAGTCCCTTGGCCATAGGGTCCCACTGAGGGACAAGATGGACCCAAGGCAGGTAGCCATACCACTTCGGCAACAACATGGGACAGAATAAAAGCTTGGCCATCAATGCAGCTTCTGGCATATCTTGACCAAAAAAGGGAATGTAAATTAAAAATAAAATTCTAAGCCCCTACCAACTGAACAGACTCTGCTTATAGCCAATGGAAACCCACAAAGACCTTATAACCTGAGTTCCTAGCCATGATGGAATGGGTGGTCAGACATGTCTCATTATACTGTCTCCCTCTCAGCATCTAGACACAGCAACTGGCCAGCATTAATGTTAAAATGGAGGTCATAACACTGACAGAACAGACTCTTTGTGTCAGTAAGATTTCATGAGTATTCCAGAGTTTTCAGTCTTATTTTGCAAGGACTTTTGAAATTTGAGCTCACAGCTCTGATAATAATTAATTGCACACCAGATTATAAGATAATAATTTATAGATAAAT
Organism: Homo sapiens; assembly: GCF_000001405.40. NCBI lineage: Eukaryota > Metazoa > Chordata > Mammalia > Primates > Hominidae > Homo > Homo sapiens. The sequence goes on from NC_000001.11 coordinate 58,613,215, forward strand.
ATAAATTTATTTATAAATATGCATTTATCTAAGACGTATAGATAATTGAATTATCTATAAGTTGTATGCGTTGAACTACCAGCTGTTTAGGCTTCTGTATACCTGTCCTTGATTTGAAAGGTCTGAATTAATTTTATCCCTTGGAACTGGCCCTTACGATCTTATGTGCCCACATCTTTTGTCATGGTCCCTGGGCCTAGAGAGAGGATGTTTGATATTGCATAATTTTAGCAGCAGTGCGTTGGCAATGGAAAACAGATTGTCCCAGTGAGATTGAATAGTTTCAGATTCTGGCCCTGTGTTTCATGAAATATTATCAGAGACTAAAAGATAAATTATTATCTTATAGTCTGGTGTGCAATTAAATGCTGTGCTAAGACAGTGGATTGGAGCACTAAGGTGTTTGTACTGCACCCCTGAGATCCCCAACTGAGCACTTGTAAATACTTACAGGTTACTCCAAGGCAGTTTCATTCCTCTAATCCTGACTCTTACCTCAACTGTGCCCCTTGCCAACAGGAAGAAGCTAGGGTCATCTTCCCCCAGTTCCCACCATATTAGCTCTCACTTCAGGATTGAAGTATGACCAAGCCCACAGAGGGACAGAAACCATCCTTATAAATAGTATAAAATTAATCAAGGAAGAAGGGAGGAGGTGAAATAAAAATAAGCCAATCTTGCAGCACATTCAGCATTAAGCACTAGGTCAGCTTGCTCTCAGACCTGCTTCCTCATAGCTGTTTGGTGCCTATTGCCTCGGAATCACGTAGACCCTGTTACAGGTCATAGTTCCCCTTAACTTCTCCTTAACAACTTAACTTCTCCCCTTAACAACTTGAACATTGTACAATGTTACGTTTTCTATTTGAGATCATCTTTCAAGTCCTGCATGCCAATGAAACTATGGACATCAGTTGGTCTGAAGGACCCCATGAGAAGCTGACTCACAAAAGAATGCAATTTTGACATCCTTATGATTTTATACCCCTCAATCTAACCAATCAATGACCCCAATTTTCCAGCCCCTCACCCTCCAGGATCTCCTTAAAAACCCCAGCCAAGAGCTTCCTGGGGAGGATTTGAGAGTGTCTTTCCATCTCATTGTGGGTGCCCTGTGATCATTAAGCTCTTTACTGCAAACCCTGCTATCTCAGTGCATTGGACTATTACTGTGCAGCAGGCATTCGGACCAGTCCATCCTGTAACAGTCACCTGGATGAGGACACCATCTTGCCTGATTGGTTTCCCATGCCCTTATTTTGCTTCCTCTCTCATATCCTATTTCCTTATTCTTCTAATCCGTCTTCCAAAATGGCCACAAATCATTTTTCCAAAACCCCAATCTGCTCATGTCAATTGAATACTTGTTTCCTTAAAATCTTTCAGTTACTTCCATTGCACTCAGAATAAATCTCAACTTTCTCAGTTTAGAGCTCTTTCTTGGCTAGGCCTTTCATGTTCAGCCTCCAGCTTGCTTTTCTACTGATTTTTCTATGATCTCTAGTGTGAACTTCACAGGAAAATCATATCGGACTATTTGTACGTTTCTCAATGCTTCCAATTATCTCATGCCTTGCCACCTCAATGGCCTCAAGGCATCCTCAGACTCACAATAAAATCCAGACTCCTAATCATGGCTTGCAAGGCTCTGTCTAAACTGGATACCACGTCAACCTCATTCCCTACCTCTCTTTCCCTCCCTCCCTGCTGTAGCCATTGACCTCCTAGATATTCCTTCTCTTTTTTCTTTTCTTTCTTTCTTTCTTTTTTTTTTTTTTTTTTTTTTTTTTTGACAGATTCTGACTTTGTCACCCAGGCTGGAGTGCAGTAGCATGATCTCGGCTAACTGCAACCTCTGCCTCCAGGGTTCAAGCGATTCTCCTGCCTCAGTCTCCCGAGTAGCTGGGACCACAGGTGCGCACTACCACGCCCGGCTACATTTTTTGTATTTTTAGTAGAGATGTGGTTTTGCCATGTTGGCCAGGCTGGTCTTGAACTCCTGACATCAAGTGATTAGCCCACTTGGGCCTCCCAAAGTGCTGGGATTATAGGCATGAGCCACCGTGCTCGGCCTTCTCTTTTCTTTTGACTTAATTTTTTTTAGGGCAGTTTTAGGTTCACAGTAAAATTGGGAGGAAAGTATTGAAATTGCCCATATACTCCCTGCCCTAACACATGCGCAACCTCCCCTATTACCAATATCCCCTGTCAGAGTGGTATATTTGTTACAATTGATGAATCTATATTGACACATCTATCACCCAAAGTCCACAATTTACATTGGGGTTTACTCTTGGTGTTGTATTTTCTATAGGCTTGGACAAATGTAAAATGACATGTATCCACCATTACAGTATCATACAGATTATTGTAAGAATAATCCTAAAAATTCTCTGTGCTCCAACATCCTAGCTGTTTCTTGAACTTGCCAAAAAAATTCCAGACTCAGAGATTTTACATTTGCTGTTCCCTTTATCTTGAATGCTGTTCCTCTAGATGGTCAAATGTGTTAGTCTCTCATTTCAAATGAATTTCCACTTATATCTTGCCTCATCAACACCTCCCCTCTCCACTCTATGCATAACAACTATGGCCCCTTTCGTACCTCCCCCTATTATCTCCTGTATCTCCTTCATCAACTTCATTTCACTTTTCCCTATCTGATGTTATATTACATATTTCTTCTGTTGTTTGCTTACTATCTCTCTCCTCATTCTAGAATACAAAATGCACAAAGGCAGAGATTTTTCTTTTGTTCACTGCTGTATCCCCATTGCTTATATCAATTTCTGTATTTATTTATAGGTTATTTATTTATTTCTGTATTTATAGTAGGTATCTAACAAATACTAGTTAAGTGAATTAATGAATGAATAAACACAGGAATAAATGCCACCACTTCTGACTGTCTTTTTCCACTTGGTTAACTCCTACTCATCCTAAAGACTCAGGGTAGGCACCAACTCCTCCAGCAAGTCTTCCCTGACCGTCCGCCCAGGCTGGGATGAGGGCCCTTTGTTGTTCCTCTGGGCTCTCTCAGCCACCTGGACTGGCACCTCTATTGCAACACTTCTTATCTTGTGCCTCCTAACCCAATCTCTAAGCTTCTCTAGGGCAGAAAAATCTTATGCATCTCCCCCTCTCTCCAGTGCCTGGAAGAAAGTAAGTGCTCTGTAAATGTTCATGAAATGAATGGAAGAATGAATAAGTGAAAGAATTATAGCAGAATTTAAAATGTGCAAACTCTGATGTGCAAAATAACACAATTTTCTTTGTCATTAACTGATCTACTTTGCTCTTGCATCTCCATTCCTCCTGATGGTGAAAAATAATCCTTAAATTTGCCAATTAAAGGCAATTCAGTTTGCTTTGCAACTGAATTCAGTCTGCAACTGAATTCAGTCTGAATTCAGTCATGTTGGCGTTGATTATTGAAAAAATATCAATACCATTTCTCCCCTCATTCAAAAGACTCCTCCTTTTCTTCTTTGCCAAGATTGTATCTGGGTACAAGTGTGTATTTCTGCATCTCCATGGTCAAGAAGGTGGTGGGGAAGAGAGTACAGGTGAAGGTGGAACCCCTGGTCTGAGTTCCCTTAGTTCTCAGTGAATTCCAGAGGGTTGGCGGGTTTAACATGGTCCCTGGGCACTCTGAGTGGATGTCTACTGAGAGATTCATAATACCCGTGGTCTTCTGGGTGTCATCCATCTATCCATAGCCCCTGATGCTGAAGACTTCACCCTACTTTACCCTCTAGTTGTGAGGTTCCTGCTGTCTGTGGCTTCTAGCTCCTGTTCCCAGGACTGGAGCTTGCAGGAATGTTCTGTTTCTCTGCCCAAACTAGTGTGCAGCCTCTACGCTGTTGCCTCTAAGCACCTCCTTACTATGTCTGTACTGTGTTGGACATGATGCCATGCTGAACCTGAGAGTTGGGATTTTTTTCAGAGCTAGATCCTAAGAAATAAGAAACAGATGATTCTGCCCTGTTATCCCCACATCTCACTCATAAAACCTCCTGCTTCAGAGAGCTCAGCCCTCAGGTTGGGCTTTCTTCTCCCTCTGTCTCCACTGCCCTAAACCCCAGTACAAAAGGAGCTTTCTGTTACCCATTCCTGTCTGATAGATGCCCCTTTATTTCTTACCTTCCTTCTTTTGTGCTCTGTAGATTTCTATGTTCCAGGTGGTTTCCTCTGTTATCACACTTGGGCAATAAGCACCATATGGTGTAGAGATGCTAGAGATTCAAGAAAAAGGAAACTACCCTGGAGATAGTCTATTCAGATGAGAGGCAGGTGGGTGGATGGATGGATGGTTATTAGATGACTTGTCCCATATCATCAGGTCCTTATGTAAAGAGCCCAGGACTCCAAGCCAGATCTTCTGATCACTCTTTCCATTGTATCTTTTGGATTGAAAATCCAGTTCTCCAACTTCCCAACTTTCCCAAATGCCATTCATCCTGGAAAGCTTTCTCAGAGGGTAATTATGTGCTTGAGGACTCTGAGCTGTTCAGATGTGAGGACATGCGTCCCAAGATGCGCACAGCAGTAATTTGCCTTGTGGGTTTCCCAGTGCCCGGTGCTCTGTAGAGCCAGCTAATTAAAGGCCTTATCACAATTATGGAAAATCACAAGGCAGCAGTTTAATTAGATTTTCATGTGGAACTCTGTTTCATTCCCCTCATTTTTGCCTAAGATGTCTGAGAGTAGAATTGAGTCTAATGGCCATTAAAGTAGTGTTTGTTTTTATATTTAATTTCTTCTTCTCCAAAATCTTGATGCCTGAACCCTAAATGCCCAAGCAACGCTTAGATGTCTATTCAGCATTTCAAACTTAGTGTCCAAAATGAACTCCTGATTTCAACCCTATCTCTGTTCTTTCCCTATCTTCCCCATCTGGCAACACATTCTACTAAATCTTGGAATTAACTCTCCTCTTTTTCTAATTCCTCACATTCATTCCGTCAGACTTCATCACTTGTCTCTTCGCAATATTTTCAGAACCTGAGCTTCTCATCACCTCCAAAGCTACTACCTTTTTTCAAGCCACCATCATCTTTGCCTGCACTATTTCAAAAGCTTCTGACTGGTTCCTCTGCTGCCACTTTTGTCCACAGAATTAAATGGTCTGTGTGTGCCTGTGAGTGCACACATATAGCTTAGTCACTCTAACAGAGACCCAAATAAACAGTGGCTTAAACAAGACAGGAATTTGTTTCTCACTCATGTAGCAACCCGTGTGGAAGCAGTCCAGGACTTGTGTGTCAGGCACCCTGTTTTCATGGTTCCGCCCTCCTTAGGGTATTTCCCCTGCTCATAGGATCCAGTATTACTCACCCCCATGTCTGCTTTCCATCCAGTAGGGAGGAAGCCCTGGAGAAGAGGAAGGCATGCCCACTTCCTTTAACTGCCTGGCCCACAAATTGTGCCCACCACTTCCACTTGTCTGCCAATGGTCAGAATTTTGGCTAACAGCCACATCTAGCTACCTGGGAGGCTGGAAAATGCAGGCTATTTCTGGGCATCTAGGAGTCCAGCTAAGAATCACAGCTCTGTTGCTACAGAAAATGTCTTGAATGGATATTGAGGTTTCTGTCCTACTCATTCCCCCTGGTCTGTTTTCCCTACAGTGGCCAAAGAGAATAGCATAGAGATCAGGACATGTCACTCAGTAAATGACAGGATGGCACTCAACAATTATTTTTCTAGTGCCCCATTTAATAAATTCCAAGTCACAAGAATCAGGCCTCAATTCTAGTCTGCACTAGCTGGAAGAGACCCCAGAGAATATTTAGCGCATGGTTTTCAAAATGATTTTAGGCTATATATGTATATATATTTAGAGAAACTTTAATAAGGAAGCCTACTATGTTAAATGGGGAACAAGCTGGCTGCTATTTTTGAAATCAAGGGCAAGATGGATTCATTTGCTTTTTCTTTTCTGCTTTAACTCAAAGCTGGTTTAGATTCAAAGTCCCACTTCCAGAGGTGTTCGGACCACAGATTGAAACAATGAACTCCAGCAGAACATCTTCATTTTCCCTATGGGGAAACTGATGCCCAGGGAACAACAGGAGTTGTAGCTTACCGAGCTCAGTGCCTCACATGCTTGAGCTAACTTTCCCAAAGCGGGGATCCCGGCCATGGAAGAAAGCCTGCCTCATGACTGGCCACTCTCCCAGAAGCACCAGGCTATGTGCCCACCAGAGGGAATCCCAGCAGATTGATTCCTGCAATAACTTCATGCTCTCTGAAAAAAAAAAGTACCATACTCATGTTTCAGTACCTCCAAACTGGCAGTGGGGTTTCCTTTGTGGGGGAGGGGTAAGGAAGGAAACACTGGGAGGAGCCCTTCACTTCAGCTAAACCAGCTCTGAAAACTTGGCCAAGTCTCTCATTTACTTTGGTAACCATATCTGCTTGGAAGTGTTGCTGTAAAGATCAGAAAGAGATGAGGTCTACAGGCAACAATAGAGAGATGAAAGGGATTGTTTTTTCTGTGTGGGCCGTACAATATCCCACACTCTCATACCCTTGAGGGGCTTACCAGCTGAAGTGGAGACAGGAGAAGAAGGGAAGCCAAGAATCTCAGGTGCCTGGCACAGAATCAAAGGAGCAGTGGGAATTGTGCATGCTGCAGGAGGGACCAGGGCTAAAGTGGTGAGGACAGGGACACACTCCAGTGCTGGGTGGAAGAGAACCTGAGGGATAACATAGAGGTGGTGAAGGACAGGGCTCCCCACCTGGGGATCTTGTTAAAATGAAGATTCTGGCCAAGAGGACTGGGGAGAAGCCTGAGATTATTCATTTTTAACAAACTTTCTGGGGACGCTGAAGCTGCTGCTCCTGGTAACACCTTTAGTAACAACATAGAAAAAGAGACCCCACTGGTGCAGGGATCAGGCCAGCCTGAATTCCAGCCTCTCTTCTACCACCCAACAGTTGTGGACCTCAGGCAGCCTCGGGCCTTTTACCTTATAAGTGGGCACACTATTAGCAACTTTACACCAGAACCGCCAGCTTTCAGAATCCACTTCTCTCCTGTGCGGACAGAGGTGCAGACACATCTAGTGTAAAATGGGCCATCTGCAGTGACTCTCTCACTCTGTTTCTAGTCCTCCGCCAGCCCTCAATCCTACACACTTCCTCCCACCGCCTGTTTGTTTTGTTTTGTTTGATTTCATTATCTTCACTTCTCTGAAAAACAGAGGTAATACTGGCCTTTCAGGTTTGCTGGGAGGATTAGGTGAGCTCTTGTGTTCTCAGAAGCAATTAGACCCGCCCCCAACCGCTCCCATTGCCCTGCCCCTCCCCAGCCTAAGGTTTGTCCTTCACTTTCTATCACACGACCCCAGTGTCATCCCTAAGGCAGGGAACCTCTGCATCCTTTCCAGTCTTAGACATGGGCAAGACACCTGGGAGCAGCCTCGCTAGACCAAAACTAACACCCAGAGAGGAACCCACCCTCCAGGGGAACAAGAGGATCTCTTGCTTCCTGCCTGAGACTCTGAGACCTGAGAGGTCAACCCACCAAATCCTTTAACCTCTTCAAGTGGTGTTTTTGTTTGTTTTTTGAGATGGAGTCTCACTCTGTCACCCAGGCCTGGAGTGCAGTGGCATGATCTCGGCTCACTGCAACCTCCGCCTCCTGAGTAGCTGGGATTACAGGCATGTGCCACAATGCCTGGCTAATTTTTGTAGTTTTAGTAGGAAAGGGGTCTCACCATGTTGGCCAGGCTGGTCTCAAACTCCTGACCTCAGGCGACCTGCCTGCCTCAGCCTCCCAAAGTGTTGAGATTACAGGCATGAGCCACCACGCCCAGCCTCCTCAAGTGATTTTTAGTGAAGAAGCACATTCGCTCATTTTCCTGTCAGTCAATCTCTGTGAGGGAACTGTTATTTCCCCTTGGTAGGTGAGTAAACAGAGGACTCACTCTTCTGAATCCCACAGCTGACAAGTGACAAGATTCAAGCCCAGGCTTTGGAGATTTTATCTCTGTTCTAGAAATGAGCTTTTTGTCTTAGAGGATCCAAAGATGTCCAGTGGTTGGGCGTAGTTTGTTCATTTGCTGATGCTTTAGCCGAGGCAGGGATGATAAGAGAATCAGGAGGCAAGGGGGAGGTGTTTGAAAATCCAGGCTGTGGAGAGGATAGATCCTCCCTGAGCTGTGCGAGCTTGGCCTAAATTGCCCCATCTCCAAAATGAAATAATAATAACCACGACCTACCTCATAGGGTTGTTGTGAGGATTAAATGTGGTAATGTTATCCCCATGCCTAGCACACAGTAAGCACCTAAATACATCTCAACCATAATTATTTCCACCCCCACCGCCGACCACAATCCTTGGCTTAGGATTAACTATAATTATTAATGACACAACTGAACCAGGCTCTACCACTTCCTCAATTTGTAATCTCAGAAAAGTTCCTTACCCATTGTGAACCTTGGCTTCCTCTTCTGTAGAATGGGAATGATACTCACCTCTCTCTGCTTTAGGAAAGATTAAGCAATCTGATATGGAGTCTAGCACAGTGCTTGGCACAACACAGTCAATAATAGGGAACATTTCTTGCTGATGCCTGATGTTTCTGTTCTGTGAAGGAACCATCTTGCTCTTGGGGGTAAGCCTGCCCATGGGGAGTGTACACTGCTGATTCTCCCTCCCAGTGTCCCCTCACCTGGGTGGGTGTCTGCTTAATGCCATGGTTCCCTGGCAGACCCACTTGGCCTTCAAACTAAGCTACATCCTCTGACATAGCGTCTATCAGTAGTAAAAGTGCTATGTGGCTTGCGTCTTCATCGACTTATTTCTCAAATTATTCAGAAGTGTTATTCATGGGTACCCTCCTCGGAAGGACTTAATAAAGAAAATGTATTCAATTAGTCTTTTATTTAGCTTTTATTTAATCCACTATGTACTAGGAACCAAGCTAGGGATTAAGGCATAAATAAGACAATCCTGCCCCTCAGGGGCCCACCATTTACGGTGGGGAAGACAGGTGTGTAAACAGATGGTAATGCAGTATGCAGGGTGTTCTGGGACAGACATGTCAGGATGTGAATGGAATACACAGGAGAGTACATAGCCCAGCATGGAGAATCTGGAGAGACTTCCTGGAGGGAGGTGACGTCTAAATTGAATTTTAAAAATGATTATTCAAGTCTGTAAAATATATAACCCAGCATCACAGTTTAGTGTCATGTCCACCTGTTCCCTGCTTTGAGCCAAGTGCCTGATCCATAGTAGGCACTTAATAAATCATGAAATTACAAATAGGAGAGGGTATGGAGTAAAAGGAGCAAGAAGAGAGAGCTGGAGAGTAATTAGAGGGAGTGGGCGCTGCCATCGGGTCTGGGATTTGCTGCTCCCACCCCTGCTGCAAGTTCCCGAAAGACATGGAAGGTGGATTAAGAGATACATGGCAATGGGGAGCTGTGATCTTTCCAGGCCCAGGACAGAATAGAGGTTGAAAAGAGAGCTGCAGGCTTCAGAGGAATTCATGACATCAATGTGGCGAGAGGGCGGAAGACATGAGCGAGTCTCCAAAGGGAGCACAAATCGTTGAGGAGGCAGCTGAGGGTGAGCCCCTTGACAGCAGGGCGTGATGGGTCTCCTACTTATCCTTATTCAGCCTCTACAAGAGGAGAGCTTTGCACTTGATATGACATCAGAGTTGAGCATGAATAGGATTTCTCTGGTTTTGTTCATATTTGAAAATTCCATTAAATTTTCTTAACAAAAAGTTAAAAATCTTTTGGAAAAAAGATTTTTTTTTTTTTGAGACAGAGTCTCACTCTGTCACCCAGTCTAGAGTGCAGTGGCCGATCTTGGCTCACTGCAATCTCCACCTTCCAAGTTCAAGTGATTCTCCTGCCTCAGCCTCCAGAGTAGCTGGGATTACAGGTGCTTGCCACCATGCCTGGCTAATTTTCGTGTTTTTAGTAGAGACGGGATTTCACCATTTTGGCCAGGCTGGTCTCGAACTCCTGACCTCAGGTGATCTGCCTTCCTCGACCTCCCAAAGTGCTGGTGAGAGGTGACAGCATGCTGGCAGTCCTCACAGCCCTCGCTCGCTCTGGGCGCCTCCTCTGCCTGGGCTCCCACTTTGGCGGCACTTGAGGAGCCCTTCAGCCCGCTGCTGTACTGTGGGGGCCCCTTTCTGGGCTGGCCAAGGCCGGAGCCGGCTCCCTCAGCTTGCGGGGAGGTGTAGAGGGAGAGGCGCGGGTGGGAACCGAGGCTGCACGGGGCGCTCGCCGGCCAGCTGGAGTTCCGGGTGGGCGTCGGCTTGGCGGGCCCGCACTGGGAGCAGCCGGCCGGCTCTGCCGGCCCAGGGCAATGAGGGGCTTAGCACCCAGGCCAGCGGCTGCGGAGGGTGTACTGGGTCCCCCAGCAGTGCCAGCCCACCAGCGCTGAGCTCGATTTCTCACCAGGCCTTAGCTGCCTTTCCGCGGGGCAGGGCTCGAGACCTGCAGCCCGCCATGCCTGAGCCTCCCACCCCCTCCATGGGCTCCTGTGCGGCCCAAGCCTCCCCGATGAGCGCCGCCCCCTGCTCCACGGCGCCCAGTCCCATCGACCACCCAAGGGCTGAGGAATGCGGGCGCACGGCGCGGGACTGGCAGGCAGCTCCACCTGCAGCCCAGTGCCGCATCCACTGGGTGAAGCCAGCTGGGCTCCTGAGTCTGGTGGGGACGTGGAGAACCTTTATGTCTAGCTCAGGGATTGTAAATACACCAATCGGCACTCTGTATCTAGCTCAAAGTTTGTAAACACACCAATCAGCACCCTGTGTCTAGCTCAGGGTTTGTGAATGCACCAATCGACACTGTATCTAGCTACTCTGGTGGGACCTTGGAGAACCTTTATGTCTAGCTCAGGGATTGTAAATACACCAATCAGCACTCTGTATCTAGCTCAAGGTTTGTAAACACACCAATCAGCACCCTGTGTCTAGCTCAGGGTTTGTGAATGCACCAATCGACACTCTGTATCTAGCTACTCTGGTGGGGCCTTGGAGAACCTTTGTGTCCACACTCTGTATCTAGCTAATCTGGTGGGGACGAGGAGAACCTTTGTGTCTAGCTCAGGGATTGTAAATGCACCAATCTGCGCCCTGTCAAAACAGACCACTCGGCTCTACCAATCAGCAGGATGTGGGTGGTGCCAGATAAGAGAATAAAAGCAGCCTGCCTCAGCCAGCAGTGGCAACCCGCTGGGGTCCCCTTCCTCATCGTGGGAGCTTTGTTCTTTTGCTCTTTGCAATAAATCTTGCTACTGCTCACTCTTTGGGTCCACACTGCTTTTATGAGCTGTAACACTCACCGTGAAGATCTGCAGCTTCACTCCTGAAGCCAGCGAGACCATGAGCCCACCGGGAGGAACGAACAACTCCAGACGCAGTGCATTAAGAGCTGTAACACTCACCGCGAAGGTCTGCAGCTTCACTCCTGAGCCAGCGAGACCACGAACCCACCGGAAGAAAGAAACTCCGAACACATCCGAACATCAAAAGGAACAAACTCCAGACGCGCCACCTTAAGAGCTGTAGCACTCACCGCGAGGGTCCGCAGCTTCATTCTTGAAGTCAGTGAGACCAAGAACCCACCAATTCCGGACACACTGGGATTACAGGCGTAAGCCACTGTGCCCGGCAGGAAAAATATTCTTTTAAATAAACAAAATTAAGGTTTTAAAAATAATTAGATTATACTATTAACTAAAAGTTGTTGAAAATTAAGTAATCTAGCCAAGATGCCGTTAAGGGAGCCACTACCCAGTGGGAGAAGAACATCATAACAGCATAGTTTGGAAGCAACTCCTAGGAAAAAAAAAAAAAAATTCATGTTTATGCCCGACTAACTGGACTCCCCCTAAAACAGTTACACATGGAGTTTCTATGAGATGAGAAATAAAGAAGCAAAGAAAAAAGATTGGTAAATAGAAATATAAAATAAGATGTTAGAAAGAAGTCCAAATACCTCAGTATTCACAAGAAATGTAATAGATTTAAATACTCTGTTAAAAGGAGTAGCACTTGGCACAGTATTATAAAATACTTTCTTTTCTTGGTTCTCGCTCCCTACCCTCTCCTGGTTTTCTCCTACCTCACTGGCCGCTACTCCTCAATCTCCTTCTGTGGATGTGTCTCCTCTTCCAGGAGGAGCTACAAGCATTAGAAGAGGATGCATTTCTTCTTCCAGGAGGAACTACAGTCATTAGCAGAGGAAGACGCACATCCTCTCCTAAGGATTGTAGCTCCCCTATGTCTCAATCCTCTCATGTCTTCTCACCATACCTTCTCCAGCCTCATGGCTTTAAATAACATTTGATAACTCCAAATTCACATCTTCAGCCTGCAGCTTCTTCCTTGAGCTTCAGCTTACTTATCCAACATCCTACTTGATGCCTGTACTAGGTTATCTAATAAACCCATCAAAATTGGTGGAAGTAGAACTCTTAAAAATGTGCATCCTGTTCCCATTCTTCCTGAATCTTCCCCACCCAATAGACGGCACCACCGTTTTGTTAATTGCTCAGTCCAAAACGCATGTAGTCATCCTTAATATCTTCTTTTTCTCATATAATCTTGTTACAGGCCTACATTTTAAACTCCTCTCCTGGGATTCTTTCCCTTGCTCAACCTGTTTTAGTCACATTTGTCTTTGTTTGTTATTCGTAGAACACACCAAGGTTGTCAGGACCTTGGCGTCTGCTTTTTTCTCTGTTAAAATGGTATTCTGCCTGGTCTTCCCCCTTATTTCATCAATTCCTACTAGAATAGTACCCCTCAAAGGCTTCTTGCCTGACCCCACTTAAAAAAATGGAGCTGTCCCTCAGGCCACTCTCTATTCCTTTACCCAACTTCATTTCTCTGAATAGCACTTTCTACTGCCTCAGATTATATTTCCTATGTGTTTGTTGGCCAGTTTTTTAGTCATCTCCCCCAACTACAATGTAAGTTTTGTAAAAGCAGGGGTGTTGTCTTGTTCACCGCCACATCCCCAGTCACTAGAAATATGCCTGGCGCAGAGGATGCTTTATTAAATGAATTTCAAATTGATGAATGAATGAATGCATGAATATATTAATGAATAAAAGGAGGTAGACCTCTTAGGAGCTGAAGAAATAGTCCAGGTGAGAAATAATGAAAGACTGAACTAGATGTCATGGTTAATTTAATGTGTCAACTTGGCTAGGCCACAGTGCCCAGACATTTGGTTAAACATTACTCTAGATGTTTCTGTAACAGGACTGTTGGATGAGACTGACATTTACATTGGTAGACTTTGAGTAAGGAGATTCACCTCCATAATTTGGGTGAGCCTCATTTGATCAGTTGAAGGCCTGAGTAGAACCAAAGACTGACCTTCCCTGAGCAAGGGAGAATTCTCCAGCATGTAGCCTTTGGACTTGAACTGATATATTAGCATTTCTCTGTGTCTCCAGCATACTGGCCCACTCTGTAGATTTTGGGCTTGCCAGCCACTATAATCATGAATCAATTCCTTAAATAAATCTCTCTGTATATACACATCCTATTGGTTTTGTATGTCTAGAGAACCCCAACTAGTACACTAGGCCAGGTAGATGGGATGGAGAAGTGAAATAAGATATGGGAAATTAAGAAGACCTGGGAGGAATCATCAAATTAAGGCATTTGGCTTGGGAGACTGGGAACCTGTGGAAGCCATGCACCAACACAGAAAAGGCAAAAAACAGGTAACCCCAGCAATAATCTTGCAAGCAGCTGGGTTAATTCATTTGTTCGTTTGGAGGAATCATCAAATTAAGGTATCTTAATTATCTTAGTCTCTCCTAGGCTTGAGAGACCAAGAACTTGTGGGTGCCATACACCAAGACAAAAAACAAGTATCCCCAGCAATGGTCTTGCAAGCAATTGTGTTCATTCATTTACTTGTTTATATATTCATCGGGTCCAAGTACCTGCTCCACATGTAAGGTTCCTAAAAGCCAGGGAGATTACAGGATTTTCATAGATTGCACAACAAGTTTCTTTGGTTTGAGAGTTCTTTTTATTATTGTTATTATTACATCTCTGATAGGGAGTCCAGTTTTCTTGATTTTGCGATAGCCAATAATAATTGAGGGAGTTTTATAATGATTCAGCATGGGAAAATCAGAGTTAAGAAACTGCCCAGAGGTTCCCTGCAATTCCTGGTTGTGGCCTTTCATTGTTACTGTTCACAGACTCAATCTTTGTCATCCTGCTGGAAGTGAGGCCACCCCTTCTCCCTCAGGGTTTGCTGCTGCTGCCTGAGCTGTTTCCTCCCTAGCAGCCAATGGGCTAGTGAGGCTGTGGGTATGGTATGATGCAGATCTAAGTAATGATGGCCCGGAACTTTAAAAAAGCAAAAAGCTCAGTGAATTATTATTATTAGTCCTTCTTCAGAAGTACAGAGAAAGGGATCCTATCGCATTGGAGAAGTGTGGGCTGCACCAGTTAGATTGTCAGAAATGATGAGGCAAGCCCTATATGGAAGAGATCATTAATGAATAAAAATTCTAACATTTCTTTACTATGAAGTTTATGAAATGTTTTAAGATGTATTGTGCATTGGAGCTTCACGGCTATACTTTGAAGCAGATATTTTTATTACTCCAAATTTCCAAAAATAGAAACTATCAGAGATATTAAATGACTTTCTAAAATTCCATACTTAGTAATTTACAAAGTAGAATTCAAGCCCATGTCTTTTGGTTTCCAATCTTCGGAATTTTTCTAGAGGTTAGCTGGTTTTAGGCATCAGAGATGGGCTAACTAAATTGGAATAAATCACTTGCAGTTTGTTAAAAATGCAGATTTCTGGGCTCCACCCCCAAAAGATTCTGATTCAATAGGTTTTGAAGCCCCCAGATCTATATATTTATAAAATGCACTATAAAAATCTCCTGAGCAGCCAGGATGTTAACTAAGCTCCTGCTATGCTTAGCAAAATATGCTCAATATAAAAGCTCTAACAAAGGACAAAATAATAGTTTTTATTTTATCATTCAAAAAAATTGACATAGTTTCTATCCTTATAGAAATTTTAGTCTCTTAGGTGAGATAAACACATACAATGATCATACAAATAAATAGATATTTTGAAATAGATAAACAGAGAAGGAGTAAGAGGGGATGACTTGAAATTTAAAATATCTGATTTAGATAAGGGCAACAGGGAAACTTAAGCAGAGACCTGAAAGAATGAGATGGGTTAGCTAGACCAAGGGGGAGGCTGGGGTTGTTCAAGGCAGAGAGAAGAGCATGCACCCATGGCCTGAGGTAGGAAGAACTTAGTGTGTTCCAGAAATTGAGGAAGGCCCATGTCACTGAAGGCTGATGAGCAAAGAGGATAAAACAAGGCAATTATGACGGGTGGTGGCCCGGTGATCTGGGGCCTATGGACCGTGGTAAGAGATTTAGATTTTAAGTACAACCGGAATCCTCTTTCATGAAAGAAAAAGAAAAGTCAACAAGATTTGCATTTTTTTAAAGATTTGGATGAAGAACCAGAAATGGATGAAGAGTAATAGGGGATTCAGGGAGGCTTCTTAGGTGGTTATAGCACAAATCGAGGTGAGAGATGATGGTTTAGACCAGTGTGGTTAAAGTGGAGGTAGAAGGAAGTGGATAAAATTAAGAAGTATTTTGATGGGAGAATGAATGTGGTTTGGGCAAGAAATGAGGAATTCTCAAAAATGGCCCTGAGTTTCTGTCGTAAGTAATTGCAGTACCTGAGTGAAATAAGAGACATTTGTTGATCTGAGTCAGTGTGGAGAAGGAACTTATTTAGGGACATAAAAAGATTAAGAGTTTAGTTGCTGACATACTAACTTTGAGATGTCCATTAGACATTCAAGTAGATGTGTCAGATCTTGGCTGGAGATAAAATTTTTGGAATTTTCAGCATAGCCACAGAAGTGGATGAGATTCCTTGAGGAGAGAGTGCATGTTGATAACAGGAGCACTATGAGAGAGCCCTGAGGAATGGGACTGATGCATAAGGTCAATAAGTGGCTCCTCAGATTGGGGTGCATTATTTCTTGATCTATAGGAGGTCACTGTAAAGAGAAGAGCACTTGTCACCCTGCAGTTAGGTATCTGCTTATTTGTCTTAATTGCTCAATAGGTTGTAAGTCCTTCAAAGGTGAAGGATAAGAGTGTAACTCAATTATCCTGAAAACCACAGCACCTAACACACTGGGCATCTAAATGAATCATGCACACTGTTAAAAGCTTTACATTTATCACATAATGTAGTGCTCCAAAATTATATTATTCTCATTTTACAGAAGAGGAAACCTAAATTCAGAGATGTTAAATTCTTTGACCAAGGTCACATATTTAGTAAATGGGAAGGTTACATTTAGAATCAAAATCTATCAGATTGACAAATATGGCTTTCAAATTCCAGTGGATGAGAAATTTTAGACAACATCCTATGATAGGTAAGTGTTGCCATGGTTTGAATGTGTTCCCTCGAAGGTTCATCTGTTGGAAACTTAATCCCTAAAGCAATAGTGGTGTGTGCATGTGTGCTGGGGTGGCGGGGTGGGGGCACTACTAAAAGGTGATTGGGTCATGAGGGCAGAGCCTTCTTGAGTGGATTAATTTTGTTACTGTGGGAGTGGCTTAGTTATCATAAGCAAGTTGTTATAAAGCAAGTCCTAACCCTTGTGCCTCTCTTACGGTCTTTTTTTTTTTTTCTTCAAATTTTAACATATTTTATTGATTTAGGGGCCAAACAAGGCAGCATTTGGTCAGTTAAGAAAGGCACCTCATTGAAAATAATACATCACAGTGCTGTTGAGTGATCCCAGTCACAGGATTTGAGAATGGAAAGGACAATCTTTGGATGACATAGCTTAGGACACTTGCTCATTTATTTAAAAGAGTCCCTTCACACATTGCAGATAAAAGAAGGCAAGAGCATAGGATTGTGGCATGTGCTGGGTAGCTGTGAGAGGTTACTCATGAGATTACGTAGCCTAGTAAATTAGTGGTAAGTCAGGGGAAGGGAATCAGCCTCCCTTTCCATTTCATTCCCTTCTCCCTCCCCTTGATTCCAGTTTGTTTGATTTGTTGAGCCACCATCCCTATGAATACACCTTACATCTCTTTCAGATGTGGAAATGGTTTTTTGATCTTACAGTGTGTGGAACCGGGGTCAGTAATCAAAGCCTCCCTGTTCCAAGCTATAGACAGACAGGACAACAATTTGATTTCCTGTACTCTTGGTCTGGAACCCATGGGGTTCTGAGATAAAAGCTGAGGTCTTAGAGCACTGGCTTTAAAAAATATTTTCACCAGTCCAGAGTAAATGAAAACCCGATTCCTTAGAAATAATATTGTGTCTCTCTATTTCTACCCCCACCCTCCAAGCATGGTGTTTTTTAAAAAATTAATTTTTCCCTTACACTTTAAAAACTCTCACCTATGTATAAAATAAACTGCCACATTACAATAACACTGCTGTTGTTTCAAGTATTCCTCTCAGCCCCTCACCAGCCCTCCCTCACCATCCTCACCCTGACCACCCTTTCCCTCTGCCCAGCACCTAAGAGCAGGGATCACGCCACCGGGTGATGAGCAGTGTTGCAGTTTCGCCTGGCCTTCTGATACTAGGATGTGGCTTTGGAGAAGGCTGCTAGGATGCTTGCGAACACGACATCAGGGGTCTGGGATGCATTGATGGCAGAGTGGATCCCCCGTTTCCTGTAGTACTCTATGAGTGGGGTGGTTTGAGTGTGGTAGGCTTGCCGGCAGATTTTCAAGGCCTTTTCATTATCATCTGATCAACGGATCAAGGGTTCCCCGGTGATGTCATCTTTCATGGGCTCTTTTGGAGGGTTGAACTCCTCGTGGTAGGAACGGCCACTCTTGGGGTGATCAGCCTTCCTGTGATTCTTCGGATCAGCAGAGAGTCTGGGATGCTGAATTCAATCACAGAATCAAGCTTCTCTTTCCTCTTCTCCATGAGGTCATCGAGCATTTCTGCCTGCCTCACAGTCCGAGGGAAGCCATCCAGAAGAAAACCATTTTTGCACAAGGGGGTCTCCAAATTCTTCTCAATGAGCTCCACTACCATTTCATCACTCACCAGTTTCCCAGCATCCATAGTTGCCTTCAGCTTTTTTCCTAGCTCTGAGCCAGAAGCCACCATGGCCCTCAGCATGTCCCCAGTAGCTAAATGGCAGACACAGAAGTTTTCAGCCAATCTGGGTGCCTGGGTGCCTTTACCGGCCCTGGGAGGCCCCAGCAGCACAGCCTTTAGGACACTCGGGTTCTGCCGCTGGCACGCTGGGAGCCATGTCCGCCGAAGTCTCTCACTGCCACCAGTTCGCACACCTCACAGGTCCCTCTCTTTTGGTCTTATGTTCTCACTTCCACCTTTGTCCTTCTCACCATGGGATGACCCTTGCCAAATGTTGGCGCCATGCTCTTGGACTTCCCAGCCTCAAGAACCATGCACTAAATAAATTTCTGTTCATTATAAATTACTCAGTCTCAGTTGTCCTTTTGTAGCAACACACAATGAATCAAGAGAGGCAATGTGTACCAAGAAGGGGGGATTGTTGCTATAAAAATATCTGAAATTGTGAAAGCAGCTTGGTACTGGGTAATTGGTAGAGGCTGGAAGAATTTGGAAGAGTAGGTTAGTAAAAGCTTGTATTGCTATAAACAGAGCATTAAGGGTGATTCTGGTGAGGGCTCAGAAGAGCTGACTTGGGAAAGTCTGAATCTTCTTAGAGATTACTTAAGTAGTTGTGACCAAAATGTTGATGCAACTATGGACAGTAAAGGCCATTCTGATGAGGTCTTCAATGGAACTGAGGAACAAGGTATTGGAAGATAGATCAAAGGGCATCCTTGTTATAGAATAGCAAAGAACTTGCCTGAACTGTGTCCATGCGCAAGGGCTTTATGGAAGATGGCATTTAAGAACAATGAATTAGATCATTTGGCAGAAGAAGTATCTAAACAGCAAAGCACTCAGGCTACTGCCCAGCTACTTTTAACCACTTATAGTAAGATACTACAAGAAAGGAATGGTTTAAAGACAGAATTTATCATTAAAAGGGAAGGAGAGCAGAAAGATTTGGAAAATTTGCAGCCTGGTCATGTAAAGAACAAAAAAAGTATGCAAGGGTGAAATCAAACAACCTTTTGCTAAAGAGATTAGCATGGATAGAAGGAAGACAGCTCTGTTCATCAAGACAATGGTAGAAAGACCCAGAAGGCATTTTAGAAATCTTCAAGGGTTCCTCTCCTATCACAAGCCAAGAGTTCTAGGACGGCAGAATGGTTCTGGGGGATGGGCCTAGGGTTCCCTTCATGGGCTTACTGCCCATGGCTGCCTTGGGTCTCTGCATCCTGCATCTTGCTTGGGCAGTGCTCTTGGCTGCCCCAACTATGGCTCAAACAACTACAGGTGTGGCTTGACCCACTGCTCTGGAAGGTAGAAGTGGCAAATCTTGGCAATGTCCACATACTGCTAGGTCTGCAGGCATGCAGAATGCAAGAGTGGTGGGGGCATGGCTTCCTATACCAAGATTTTAAAGTATATCACAGAGAACTGGGGGCCCAGGCAGGGACTTGTCACAGTGATGGAGCTACTATAGAAGAGCCCCCACTAGGACAAGCCAAATGGAGCCATGGAAGCAAAGCCACCACACAGTCACCACTAGGATAATGCCTAGTGAAGCCATGGGTGCAGGACTACCTGAGAACTGTAGAGCTACCAGTGTAAGCCCAGAAATGCCATGGGGCTGGGGTTGCCATAGGTCTTGGGGGTTTAACCCCTATTCTAGTGTGCCTAGGATGCAGGACACGAAGTCAAAGGAGATTATTCTCCATCTTTAAGCCTTAATGTTATTTCAGGTTGGGTTTTGGACTTACTTGGGGACTTTCGCTTTTTTGTTCTTGCCTATTTTACCCTTTTAGAATGGGAATATCTGTTCTATGCCTGTCCCATCATTATAGTTTGGAAACAGATAATTTGTTTAATTTCACAGGCAAACAGCTAGAAGGAATTAACCTCAGGGTGAATCATGCCTTGAGTTTCACCCATATCTGATTTAGATGAGACTTTGGACTTTTGAGTTGATGCTGGAATGAGCTAAGGCTTTTGAGATCATGAGGATGGAATAAATGTATTTTTCATTCTGAGAATATAAATTTGTGTTGGGGGGGAGGGGTGGAATGCTATGGTTTCATGTATCCCCTAAAAGTTAATATGTTAGAAAAAATCCATAATGCCACAGTGCTGGGAGGTAGGACCTAATAAGAGGTGATTTGGTCATAAATGGTTTAATGTTGTCATCGTGGGACCAGGTTAGTTATCATGAGACTGGGTTGTTATAAAGCGAGTCTGGCCCCTGGTGCCTCTCTCTCTGTCCTTTGTGCTCACTTGTACCTTCTGCCCTTCTACCATGGGATGACCCTTGCCAGATGCTGGCACTATGCTCCTGGACTTCCCAGCCTCCCAAACTGTGAGCTAAATAAATTTTTGTTCATTAAAAATTACCCAGTGTCAGGTATTCTGTTATAGTAACAAAAAATGGACTAAGACAAGTATCTTTGGTGTCTTGTACCAAATTTTGCATTTGATAGTTTTATTTTATCAATCTTTATGATTTATGCATTATGTCCTATTTTAGTAATCTTTTCCTACTCTAATCTCATAAATATATTGTCTTCAAAAAGTTTTATAGGTTATTTTCTTTACTCTATTTGTAATTTATTTTTACAAATGAGGTAAAGTAGAGAATTAATTTTGTTTATTTACTTGTATGTGTATGAATAATACACTGTCCTAGGACCATTTATTAATGTTTTCCCCCACTGATTTATAATACCACATCTGACCTTCATTCATTCAATAACTATGTATTAAAGAGCCAACTATATGCCAGGCTCGGTTCAAGTCACTGGAGAAAGTATTGACACTCAGAAGATTAGGAAGATCTAGGCACAGCTGCTGGCCCTGAAAAGATTTTCTTATGTGATAAGCATTTTGCAACATATCTTAGATTCATGTTGTAACAAGATAATATATAAATAAATAAGCAGTTTCATTCTTTAGGCCCAACTTAGGCCGTCACAATTCTAGGAAGTCTTCTATGAGCTCCTCAAGCTGAGTTAAGTCCTTTTTTTGGTGCTCTTTCATTATCTTATAAAGTTTTCACTATAACATTGACCACATTATATCAATTCCTGTTTACATATTTTTTTCCCAGCAACAATAAAAATTTTGAGAACAGAGACTCTCCCTTATTTATTTCAGAATCTTGTACAGGGCCTTGGTTCCAATCATATTTGATAAATAAATAAATTACTATGTAACACTTTGGTTATAACTGTTTGACTTCAGGAGTGTGAAGTACATTACCAAGAAGAAAGCAATGTTGCTATTGGCCAATTGCAAACATATATGAAATCCAGAGGATAATTCAAACAGAAAACACACACACACACACACACACACACGCACACACACACACACACACACAATGATATGGTTTGGCTCTGTGTCCCCACCCAAGTCTCATCTGGAATTGTACTCCCATAATTCCCATGTGTTGTGTGAGGGACCGGTGGGAGATAATTTGAATCATGGGGGCAGTTTCCCCCATACTGTTCTCCTGGTAGTGAATAATTCTCACAAGATCTGATGGTTTTATCAAGAGTTTCCGCTTTTGCATCCTTCTCATTTTCTCTTGCCTTCACCATGTAAGAAGTGCCTTTTGCCTCCTGCCATGATTCTGAGGCCTCCCCAGCCACGTGGAACTGTAAGTCCAATTAAACCTCTTTATCTTCCCAGTCTCGGGCATGTCTTTATCAGCAGCATGAAAATGGACTAATACAGTAAATTGGTACTGGTAGAGTGGGGCATTGCTGAAAAGATACCCAAAAATGTGGAAGTGATTTTGGAACTGGGTAACAGGCAGAGATTAGAACAGTTTGAAGGACTCAGAAGAAGACAGGAAAGTGTGGGAAAGTTTGGAACTTCCTAGAGACTTGTTGAGTGGCTTTACCCAAAATGCTGATAGCAATATGAATAAGAAGGTCCAGGCTGAGGTGGTCTCAGATAGAGATGAGGAACCAGTTGGGAAGGTGACTCTTGTTATGTTTTAGTAAAGAGACTGGCGGCATTTTGCCCCTGCCCTAGAGATTTGTGGAACTTTGAACTTGAGAGAGATGATTTAGAGTATCTGGTGGAAGAAATTTCTAAGCATCAAAGCATTCAAGAGGTGACTTGGGTGCTGTTAAAGGCATCTAGTTTTATAAGGGAAGCAGAGCATAAAAGTTTGGAAAATTTGCAGCCTGACTATGCAATAGAAAAGAAAACCCCATTCTCTGGGGAGAAATACAAGTCAGCTACAGAAACTTGCATAAGTAGCAAGGAGCCTAATGTTAATCCCCAAGACCATGGGGAAAATGTCACCAGGCCATGTCAGAGACCTTCACGGCAGCCCCTCCCATCACAGGTCTGGAGGCCCAGGAGGAAAAAGTGGTTTTGTGGGCCGGGCCCAGGGTCCCCCTGCTGTGTGCAGTCTAAGGGCTTGGTGCACTGTGTCCCAGATGCTCCAGCCATGGCTGAAAGGGGCAAATGTACAGCTCAGGCTATGACTTCAGAGAGTGCAAGCCACAAACCTTGGCAGCTTCCACATGGTGTTGAGCCTGAGAGTGCACAGAAGTCAACAATTGAGGTTTGGGAACCTCTGCCTAGATTTCAGAAGATGTGTGGAAATGCCTGGATGCCCAGGCAAAAGTTTGCTGCAGGGGTGAGGCCCTCATGGAGAAAATCTGCTAGGGCAGTGCTGAAGGGAAATATGGGTTCAGAGCCCCACACAGAGTCCCTACTGGGGCACTGCCTAGTAGACTTGTGAGAAGAGGATCACCGTCCTCCAGACCCCAGAAAGGTAGATCCACCAACAGCTTGCACCATGCACCTGGGAAAGCCACAGACACTCAATGCCAGCCCATGAAAGCAGACAGAAGGGGGCTATACCCTGCAAAGCCACAAGGGTGGAACTGCCCCAAGACTATGGGAACCTACCTCTTGCATCAGCGTGACCTGGATGTGAGACATGGAATCAAAGGAGATCATTTTGGAGCATTAAAATTTGACTGCTCCTCTGAATTTCGGACTTGCATGGGCCCTATAACCCCTTTGTTTTGGCCAATTTCTCCCCTTTGGAATGGCTGTATTTACCCAATACCTGTACCCCATTGTATCTAGGAAGTAACTAGCTTGCTTTTGATTTTACAGGCTCATAGGCAGAAGGGACTTGCCTTGTCTCAGATGAGGCTTTGGACTGTGGACTTGTGGGTTAATGCTAAAATGAGTTAAGACTTTGGGGGACTGTTTGGAAGGTATGATTGGTTTTGAAATGTGAGGACATGAGATTTGGAGGGGCCAGGGGTGGAGTGATATGGTTTGGCTCTGTGTCCCCACCCAAATCTCATCTTAAATTGTACTCCCATAATTCCCATGTGTTGTGGGAGGGACCCAGTGGGAGATAATTTAAATCCTGATGGTGGTTTACTCCATACTATTCTCGTGGTAGTGAATAAGTCTCACGAGATCTGATGGTTTTTATCAGGGGTTTCCACTTTTGCATCCTTCTCATTTTCTCTTGCCACCACCATGTAAGAAGTGCCTGTTGCCTCCTGCCATGATTCTGAGGCCTCCCTAGCCATGTGGAACTGTAAGTCCAATTAAACCTCTTTGTCTTCCCAGTCTTGGGGATGTATTTATCAGCAGTATGAAAAAGGACTAACACACAGTCCCATCTTCTTTTTAAAGGGTATACTCCAGCAAAACTAGGGAAAGAAAAAGACATGAAATCCAGGCAATAGAGGATGCTACCCAGGAGGGTAATAAAGAGAATTCCCCAAATGGCATCTGTGCAATAGGCATAGAGAGCAGCCTGCCTCGTCTATAGCAGGTGGACAGAGCTCCTGGAGAGATGTCTCCATGTTGAAACAAAAAGAGAAGGTAATGAGACAAATAGAGTCTGATATGAGAGTTTTGGAAAACAATAATCAAAGCATAGGTAGATGGCAGATCTGATGAGCAGTCTGAGCAAAATTGAATAACTATATTTACATAGTCATTATAATATAAACCCTAATTTCCAATTAAATTTAACAAATGATATGGGGCAGGTGGGGGATGGGAGATTGTGTAAGAATGCTAAAGGCATGGATTATCACAGAAATATAATAGATGACATCTAATTTTGACAAAATAGGAAATATTAAAAGAAGCACATTTGTTTAGAAATATGAGATAACTGGTGAGACAGCTCAAGGAGTGAACTGAGGTTTCCTTTAGAGTGTGAAACTGGGTTTCATTATAAGTCTCATGACATTTTTTTTTAAGCTATGTGTATGTATAAATTGATGAAAAAATTTTTTTAACTTTTAAGTTCAGGGGTACTAATGCAGGTTTTGTGTCATGGGGGTTTGTTGTAAAGACTATTTCATCACCCAGGTATTAAGCCTTGTGCCAATTGGTTATTTTTCCTGATCCTTGCCCTTCTCCCACTCTTTGAAAGGCCCCAATGTGTGTTGTTCCCCTCTATGTTTCCATGTGTTCTTATCATTTTGCTTCCACTTGTAAGTAAGAACATGTGGTATTTGGTTTTCTGTTCCTGTGATAATTTGCTAAGGATAATGGCCTCCAGCTCCATCCATGTCCCTGCAAAGGACATGATCTCATTCTTTTTTATAGCTGCGTAGTATTCCATCATGTATATATACATTTTCTTTATCTAGTCTATCACTGATGGGCATTTAGGTTGATCTACATCTTTGCTATTGTGAATAGTGCTTCAATGAATATATGTGTGCATGTGTCTTTAAAACAGAATGATTTATATTCCTTTGGATATATATCCAGTAATGGGATTGCTTGGTCAAATGGTTCTGTCTTTAGGTCTTTGAATAATTGCCACACTGTCTTCCACAATGGCTGAACTAATTTATACTCTCACCAACAGTGTATTAACTGTTCTTTTTCCCTACAACGTTGCCAGCATCTGTTATTTTTTGACTTTTTATAATGAAAAATGTTGAAAAACTAAGTGAACCACTGTTTTACCAGGAGTTCTAGGTGAATCGACTGCTCCTCTATCTATGTGGAAGCATACAGAAATCTTGCTCATTTGGAGAGTTGATTCATCCTGGAGTGTTTATGTTGAGCCAGGGAAGCTGTTCTTCTGACTCCTTGCTCCTTGTTGAGAAGGGGAAGAAATGCCAAGTGGCCCCTTAGGGCTAATGACAGTGTCCCCTGTGAACATGTGTCAGAAGCAATCATATCTAATCTTGACAGCAGGTCTTTAAAGTGAGTATTATCATGCCCCATTTAAACGATAAAGAAACTGGGATTCAGAGACATTGACTTGCCCAAGCTGCTCCACTAAATGGAGCTATTATATATTTAGTGGTGGAGGAGGGGTCTGAACTCATGTATGCTGACTCCAGAACACAAGCAAGCCTGGATAGCAAATTATCTCTGAAGTCCTGCCCAAACTTGTTTTCTGTACTGCCATGCACTGCTCACATCTGCTGCAACCCCTTCTATGCCCATCTTCTCCCGTCCGACAAGCCTAGTTCCAACCCTACCTCTACTCCAGCTCTGCCTGCCTCTCCCAGCCCCCCAGCTAACTCCTGCACCCATAGTCAACACTGGTTTATGTCTTTCCATTTATCTTTTTATATAGATACAAATAGATCTCTTTTAAAGATAAATGCCATCATAGGGTACATAGTGTTGTATTCTTCATTTTTCTCATATGTCTTGTCTTTCCACATCACTTCAGGTTAAGATCATTTTTTTCCATACATGATCTGTACTATTCTGCAGTACATATTTCCTTAATTCATTTATCTCCTTTATTTTTCTCTAGGGTCATTTGTCAACATTTTATCATTCTGACCCTCCTAGCAACCCTTTTGACAGAGGTATTATTATTCTAGCATGTAAAGATGGAGAGTGGAGGCTTAGACAGTTAATTCTTTGGCACTAGCTAACAACTCTACAATAAAGGCTTGACAGGGACTATCCACCATCCAGAAACAACTCCAAAGACTTCAAAACGTGTTCCTTACTGGGCACTGCCTTTGGCCAGAGGGAGCTGTCTCACTCTCTCCCAGCAACGGCGAGGGATCACCACCTGGCTGATGCCCGGATATAAAGACCCTGCCGTTTCTGCCTCAATTTGGACAGCTCTGAAGGTTCCTCTCAACTGCAGGGGCCACTGTAGGATGGGCTGAGGGCTCAGTTGCAATTATATTGCAGTTCAGCTTCTCCCTCTGTCCAATCCTGCTCTCTTCACTTCCTTAGAGTTAAATATCCCGAGAGCACCTCCCAATAAACCTGCATGCAATCTCAGGCTCAGAGCGTGTCTCCAAGGTACCTAGTCTGAGATATTTAGTTACATAGCTATATATCTATTCTTTTTTTTTTTTCTTTTTTTTGAGCCGGAGTCTCACTCTGCCACCCAGGCTGGAGTGCCGTGGCGTGATCTCAGCTCACTGCAACCTCCGCCTCCCAGGTTCATGCAATTCTCCTGCCCCAGCCTCCAGAGTAGCTGGGATTACAGGCATGCACTCTTTGTATTTTTGTATTTTACAGGCCCGGCTAATCTTTGTATTTTTGGTAGACACAGGGTTTCACCATGTTGGCCAGGCTGGTCTCGAACTCCTGACCTGATCTGCCTGCCTCGACCTCCCAAAATGCTGGGATTACAGGCATGAGCCACCGCACCCAGCCTGTATATCTACTCTTTAAATAGTGCTGTCTGTCATACTCTCTACCTTTGTTCATAGCACTTTCCAGTACCTGATACATGATATATTTATTAGTTTATTCGTTATCTGTTTTCCTGTCTTCAGAATGTATGCTCCGTGCAAACAGGGACTTTATTTTATTCTCTATTGTATCCCCAGCACCTAAAATAGTGCCTGACACTAATTAACAATAAGAAAATTGTTAAATTGATTGAATAAATGAATCCTTTGAAAATTGTGGAGGCAGCAGAGACAAGTGGATAAAATCATGCTCCTTGATAGCAGACAGGTCTGAGATAGAGTTCTAGTTCAGCCCCATTCCCAGGGGTGAGCAAGTTTCTTAATCCATTTGAGCCTCAGTATCCTCACCTATAGAATAAGGTAAATAACAGGACCTACCTCATGGGGGTTTTGTGATAACTAAAGGAGGTAATGCATACAAAGCCTTCAGAATACAGCATACCCATTGTAAGCTCTCAAAACTGTTAGATGATGATGATTATAATACCGAACAGATCCCTTGGAAAAGGTAATTATAAAAACTACATTTCAAAATTATTTTTCTAAACCATTGGGTTAAAATACTGGAGAAAATGCAATTAGACAGTGATTATCTCTTCAACCTGCTGCAGGAATATTTTCTCTAATTGCAATGAAGATTTCATTAGCTGGGTCTGCAACATACAGTCCAGGACACAAAAAGCCTACTTGACAAATTACCTCCTGTACTCACTGGGCATGGAGCCTTCCATCTGAGCAACTGGGGCTTTAGGGCATGTAGCTATTACCTGTAGCAGCCTGCAATGGCAGGTGTAATTTGGTAAACTAGGGAGGCTGGAGAACTGATTTTAAAGCTAGGTGATCCAGAATTAAGAGTATGGAAAGAAGGCTTGCCTTTGGGTCCTTGTCACTCCATCTGCTGGCCATGGTATCCTAAACAGATCACCCATCAATCCATCCATGTATCCATCCATCCATATATCCATTCATTCATGTATCCATCCATCCATCCATCCATCCATCCATCCATCCATCCATCCATCCATCCAACATTTACTATGCATTTACTATATGACAGATGCTGTGCTAGACCCTGGAGATAGAGATGAGCCATTTCAGCCCTCAAGGAGCACCCCCTTTTGCGAAAAAGGGAAAAAAAACCAATTTCATATTTAAGAAGTAAGCAGTGGCAACAAGTCCAATGTTGCTGGGGCTTAGTCCTGTGCTGGGAAATGGGAAGTCAGGGGAAACTTGTTGGAGAAGTTGATGATAACTGAGTCAGTCAGGAAGACAGAGCAGGGATAAAATGCCAGACAGAGCAAACAACACATAAATAGAGATGAAGTCTTGAGTGCCATGCTTTTTGTATTTTTATGATTTCTGTTGATTTTGCTGTTTAAAGTGACCCCCAAATAGAGGCTGAAGTGCTGCCTAGTGTTCCTAAATACAAGAAGGCTGTGATGTGCCTTATGGAAAAAATATGCATGTTAAATATGTTTCGTGAAAGCATGAGTTATATTGTTGTTGACCATGAGTTTAATGTTAATGAATTAACAATATATATTAAATAAGGTGCCTTTAAACAAAAACACACATAAGATTAGGTTATGTATTGATAGACTGAGAAAAATTTTGTGACTAGAGGCTCACAGGAGCCTAATTCTGTATATCCTGTAGGAGCAAATTTTCATAATTCTGTGTTCATAGTGATTTTATAGAATGGAAGTACTGTGAATAATGAGAATCACCTATATCTGTTATCTTCCACAAGACATAAACCAAGTCCCTTTCCTCAATTTCTTTCCCTGGAGAGAAGCTCTCACGTGTGAGGCAGTGTATAAGTGGGTAGCAATGTTTTCCCAGATTCCCTGAAGGTCTAAGTGAACCAAACCACACATGTATTTCTTGCCTTTTAAATATGGGCCTCATCCTTATTTCTCTAAGCCTCCCTCTATGTTGCCCCCTTGTCTACTTCCCACTAGACAAGGTTTATAGTGTTCTGCACAAGTATTGAGACTCTATGACACCAGGGAGTTTTGCCTCCTAAGACTGCCACCTCCACATCCCTACTCTCCATTCCTGATCTACTTTGCTCCATGTTCCAAGTAAGTTAGAATGAGAGGTTCTCACTATATGTGTGGGAGCACGTGCCTGTCCTTTGCTTCACAAGGCCCATCTACATTAGAGTATGTATTTGAATGTCCTTCTATGGACATTAGACTCATTTTATAAAGCACCTCCATTCCCTTTGCCCCATTCCCCTTAGGGGATGCCTAGCTGGTTCTTCCTGATGTCTAGCTGCTTCTCTCTACTGGCTGAGTCTGGTGTCTTTACAGGCACAGCATGAGAGCTGGGCAGCCTGTAGGTAGTTTTGGAAAAGTCAACATTTGATTGGTAAGAGGACATTATTCAGAAAGAACAAATCGGGAGAGAGTGGGCACACAGGGATGGAAGTTCTCACTTTGGGCTGCAGGTTTCAGGTGAGACTTGTCAAGCTGATTCTAAAATTAACATGATTTATTAGAGGGCCAATATTAGCAAAGACAAGTTTGAAAAAAAAAAAAAGGAGGAGAACTTGCTGCATCACCTATCAGGACTTATCATAAAGCTCTAGAAACTAAAGTGGTAAGGAATTGTCACAGAAATTGACAGACTAAGGGAACAGAATAGTGAGCCCCAAACAGCCAGGCATCTATTGGAATTTGACACTTGCTAGAGGTGGCATTAAAAATCAGTGAAAAAAGGATAGGCTATTCAACAAATGAAATGAGACAATTAGTACACACATGGGGAAAAAATAATACATAAAAATAACATTATGGGCCTTAGTATAGGAAATTAGACCTTCCCACCTAAAATCCCATATGTCATAATATAAATAATAAAAATATTTTCAGCTTTCTCAAAATTTAAAAGTTATATATGTAAAATAAAGTCTGAGAAAATTAACAGAGAAGCTGCAGACAGGGAGATAATTTTGTAATGCATATGAACAACCAAAGATCTGTAACTCAAATATAAAAAACTGCTGCAAATCTATGAGAAAAGCCAAACAACCTAATATAATGAGCAAGAAAAATGAACAATTCCCAGGAGAGGAATACACCATCACCCTCCACAAAAATGAAAAGATGCCCAAGCTCCCCAATCACCCA
Source organism: Homo sapiens (assembly GCF_000001405.40). Classification (NCBI taxonomy): domain Eukaryota; kingdom Metazoa; phylum Chordata; class Mammalia; order Primates; family Hominidae; genus Homo; species Homo sapiens. Next base: position 58,643,177 of record NC_000001.11, read on the forward strand.
AGAAGTTAGAATTAAAACAATAATCTAATACCATTTCCCTCCCATCAGACTGGCAAGCATTTAAAAGTCTGACGATACCAAGTGACATTCTGATGCAAGGGTAACAGGAGTGTCTATGAATAATACAACTTCAAAGAGAAATTTGGCAATCTTGGTAAACTTGGAGTTGCAGATACCTTTTGGCTTCGCAGTTCCATCTCTAGGTATACATCTCAGAGAAACTCACACACATGCTCATGGAGAGATGCAAAAACGTATTAACAGCAGCACAGTTTGTGACATCACAAATATTGGAAATGACCTACATTTTCATCGAAAGGGAAGAATAACTAAACTGTAGTATGTTTATATAATGGGATGCCATTAAGATGAATGAAACAAATTGACACATATCACTATGGAAAAAATCTATAAACCATCAACAGTAGAGTTTCATAGTTCAGGTTCCCAGACAGACTCTGATACTCTGGTGAGATTTGCAAGAGTTTTTTGGGAAGTACTCTTGGCAACAACACTTGTCTGGGGTGAGGGAGGCAGGATTGTTTGGACACAGGAAAAGCTGAACAGAGGCCATCGCCAATCCCATGAGCATCTCTGGAGCTGGCATGTCTCTACTGAGTTGTCCTATTGAGGCAAGGACTCCAGGTATTTGTACTCCTATAGTTACCAGTCATTGGATAACTAATCATTGGATACCAGCTTCTTTCTGTAGAGGTACAAGACTCAGCTGCCTTGGCAGCTGGAGAGACTGGCCCCCTGACCCTGAAGGACAATCTGGCCATGCACCTCAGTATCCACCACAGAGAGAAAATCAGGCAACGCATCAAGAAGATACATTACTAAGAGGGTTAAGATATTAATAGAGGGTTTCCAGGTAGGCTAGAGTGGAAATGCTCTTGACAGAAGATAGAGCACGTACAACACACCAGTCTATGGAAAAGCATGTAGGTGACCTGCTGCCATTGAATGTTTCAATCTTGTTGTCTTTAAGGGGTTCTTTATGTATTATGGATTTTAATTGTTTAATTTTTTTTTACCATGAAGGGAAAAATATTTTTCCCTTGTGGCTTCTGATTTTTGTGCATTGCTTGAAAGGCAAGTATTATAAGAATATTCTCCAGTATATTCTTAAGTGATATATTTCTACTCACAACATAGGCCCAACTTCACGGTGAAGGCCAAGACAGCTATTAGAGCCCCCTGTCTGTTGTTATCTGATCTAAGACACCCTTCCCTTCCCCAGAGAACCTAAATCAGGAACGATTCCTCCTTCAGGTACTCTACTGTCCTCTGTCTATAGAGGGTACGCCTTCCACCTAGCAGGACCTTCGCATGCAGCTGCCTCCTTTGGACTGTGTGGATCGACTCTCCACCTGTATTCCAGGTCCTTCCTCTAGCTGGAATGGTTAGAAAACTAACCATTTCAAGTCCCAGAATATCAGAGTTCTGCATGCTGATTGGGTTCTGCCATTTAGATGTTCAGGAGATGTAAAAGGGCAGCGAGGGGGACGCTAGCAAGTGGGACTGTGGAGATGTGAATTTTCTGGAGAACTGCTTTGTAGGGCCCC